>NC_000012.12:74732855-74884370 GCF_000001405.40 Homo sapiens | reverse complement strand
TGGAAATTTGAGACACACACTTGATTAGTATTACAATATTTTCCTAGGTTTGTAAATTGATCTCAAGGAACATGTAGTCTAATAGCTTCATCACTATCATCTTATGCACATAAAATACTATACATTTAATTTTTAAAAATAAATTTTACTGTGTATATTTAAGATATTCAACATGCTGTGGGATACATATAGATAGCAAAAGAGGTTAATATAGTGAACCAAATTAACATATCCATCATCTCACATTGTTACCCATTTTGTGTTTGTTTTGTTTCCAGAGCCATTTTCTAAAATCTGCTCATTTAGAATGAATCGTAAATATAGTACAATTTTATTACCAATAGTCCTCATGTTGTACATTAGATCTTGAGAAGTGTTCATCGTGCATATCTGCCACTTTATATCCTCTAACCTATATGTCCCAATTTCATCCTTATTCTCACTCCCTCCTCTCATTAACCACTGTTTGATCCTCTCTGTTTGTATATTTGACTTTTTTATAGATTTCACATACAAGTGAAATCATGCAATATTTTGCCTTCTGTGTCTGGCTTATTTCACTTAGCATAATGTCTTCCAAGCTTTTTCATGTTGTGATAAATGGCAGTATTGAGTTTATTTTTAAGGCTGAAGAATATTCTTTTATATATATGTATATATATAATGGAATAGACCATTATATATATAAAATATTCCATTACATATATATAAAATTGAATATGCTATTATATATGATGGAATATTATATTATTCCATTTTATGTATTGTATATTACATATATTATATAATGATATTTTTATATAACATAATATTTAATATTCCATTCTATATATATGATAGTCTATAATTCTACTTTATACATATATATATTTTCTTCTTTCTTCATTCATCCATCAACAGACACTTAGATTGTGTCCATGTCTTAGCTATTTTGAATAATGCAGCAGCGAACATGGGATTTCAGATATCTTTATCAAACGGTGATTTCACTTTTTTAGGTATATGCCCAGAAGAGGAATTTTTGGATAATATGGTAGTTTTATTTTTAATTTCTTAAAAAAATCTTCCTACTCCTTTTCATAATGGCTGTACTGGTCTACATTCCTACCAACAGTGCACAAGAGGTTTTTTCTCCACACTCTCTCTAATATTTGTTATCTTCTGACTTTTTGATAATAGCCCTCCTGATGCCTGTGAAGTGGTATCTCATAGTGGTTTTGATTTTCATTTTCTGGTGATCGATGATGTTGAGCGTTTTTCATATGTTTGTTAGTGATTTTGATGTCTTTGGATAAATGTCTATTCAGGTCTTTTGCCTATTTTTTATCAGGTTATTTGTTTTTCTACTATTGAGCTGTATGAGTTCTTTATAAAGTTTGGATACTAACCCCTTATCAGCTATATGACTTGTAAATATATCCTCTCTAATGTACAAACTGCCATTCATTTTGTTGATTGCTTTGTTTGATGTGCAGAAGTTTTTCAATTTGATGTTATTCCACTTATTTAATTTTGTTTTTATGGCCTGAGCTTTTGGTGTGATCTCCAAAAAATCACTGCCAAGGGCAACGTAAAACAGTTTTTCCCTTATATTCTCTTCTAAGAGTTTTATATTTTCCGGTCTTTTATCCATTTTGAGTTTACTTTTGTGGAAGAGGTAAGATAGGGGTTCAATTTCAATCTTCTACATGGGGAAATCTAGTTTGCTTAGCACCAATTATTGAAGAGACCATCCTTTCCTCACAGTTTCCTCTTGATATCCTTGTCAAAAATTAGTTTGAACCATATATGTTTGGATTTACTTCTGGGCTCTCCATTCTGTACCACTGTTTTATGTATTTCTTTTTATGCCAGCACCACACTGATATGGGTTGTATGTTGTCCTCTTCAAATCTCATGTTGAAAAGTGATTCCCAAAGCTGGAAGTGGGACCTGGTGGGAGGTGATTAGATCATGGGAGCAGATCCCTCATGAAAGGTTTAGCACCATCCCTTGGTGATAAGTGAGTTCTAGCTCAATTAGTTCACACACGATCCGGCTGTTTAAAAATCTGGGACCACCTCTGCCTCTCTTTCTTGCTCCAACTCTCACCAATTGATAAACTAGCTTCCCCTTTTCCTTGCACCATGTTGTAAACTTCCTGAGGCCTCACCAGGAGCAGATGCCAGTACCATGCTTCCTGTACAGCCTGCAGAACTGTGAGACAAAATAAACCTTTTTTCTTTATAAATTACCCAGCTTCAGGTGTTTCTTTATAGTGATGCAAATCAGGATTAACCCACCTACTGTTTTTATTTATATAGCTTTGTAAGATAGTTTTAAGTCAGGAAGTGTCATGTCTACTTTATTGTTCTCAGAATTTATTTGGCTGTTTGGGGAGTTTTATGTTTTCATGAAAATATTTTTTCATTTTTTTGTTTTATTCAATCTCTTTCATCAGCATTTTATAGTTTTAGTGTACAGATCATTCACTTCCTTAGTTAAATATATTTCTAGTATTTTAATGCCATCATAAATGAGATAGTTTTATGATTTCTTTTTCAGTTAGTTTGTTATTTGTGTATAAAAATGCTCATTTTTTGTATGTTGATTTTGTGTCCTGTCATGACACTAAATTTGTTAGTGTGAACAGTTCTCTCTCTCCCTCTGTTTCTGTGTGTGTGTGTGTGTGTAATTTTTGGATTATTCTTACATATAGTATCATGGGCATCCTTGCCTTGCACTGGATCTTAGCAGAAAACCTTCCAGTATTTCTGTAATAATTATAATATCGTCTGTGGGTTTTACATAAATGACTTTTATTATGTTGAGAAACTTTCCTTCTATACCTGAAATGTTTAGAGTTTTTATCAAGAAAAGATGTTGAACTTTTTCAAGTGCCTTTTCCACATCAATTGAGATGATTATGTGATTTTTTTTGTCCCATTAATGTAATGTATTATGTTGACGGATTAACATATGTTAAAACAGTCTCGCATGCCAGGGATAAATTCCACTTGGCCATAATATTTATTTATTTATTATTGTATGTGTACACCAAATCTCACTCTGACTTCTTCACTTTCTACTCTCCTTAATGCTCTCTTTAGGTTTTCACCTACTCCATACCACAAGAGACTGCTCTTCAGGAGACCAGCACTCACCAGCCTCTTTTTTTTTTTTTTCTTTTTTCCTTCTTTTTCTGCTTTTTTTATTTTAAATGAACATTTTATTTTATTTCATTTTGTTTCCTCTTTTAATGTATCAATTATATTTCTTTTTAAAAAATTTAGAGGTTATCCTAGAGCTTGCCATAAACATTTTAAACAAATCCGAGTTTACCTTCAAACAATACTATACTGCTTCGCATGTATAGTGCGGTTAACTTATAACAGAGTATACTCAATTCCTCCCTCCCATTTCTTTTTTTTTTTTTTTTTTTTTTTACAGGTCCAGTTTGTGTATACTTTAATGTCCTTTTCTTTTTTTTTTTTTTTTTTTTTATTATACTCTAAGTTTTAGGGTACATGTGCACATTGTGCAGGTTAGTTACATATGTATACATGTGCCATGCTGGTGCGCTGCACCCACTAACTCATCATCTAGCATTAGGTATATCTCCCAATGTTATCCCTCCCCCCTCCCCCGACCCCACCACAGTCCCCAGAGTGTGATATTCCCCTTCCTGTGTCCATGTGATCTCATTGTTCAATTCCCACCTATGAGTGAGAATATGCGGTGTTTGGTTTTTTGTTCTTGCGATAGTTTACTGAGAATGATGGTTTCCAATTTCATCCATGTCCTTACAAAGGATATGAACTCATCATTTTTTATGGCTGCATAGTTTTCCATGGTGTATATGTGCCACATTTTCTTAATCCAGTCTATCATTGTTGGACATTTGGGTTGGTTCCAAGTCTTTGCTATTGTGAATAGTGCCGCAATAAACATACGTGTGCATGTGTCTTTATAGCAGCATGATTTATAGTCCTTTGGGTATATACCCAGTAATGGGATGGCTGGGTCAAATGGTATTTCTAGTTCTAGATCCCTGAGGAATCGCCACACTGACTTCCACAATGGTTGAACTAGTTTACAGTCCCACCAACAGTGTAAAAGTGTTCCTATTTCTCCACATCCTCTCCAGCACCTGTTGTTTCCTGACTTTTTAATGATTGCCATTCTAACTGGTGTGAGATGATATCTCATAGTGGTTTTGATTTGCATTTCTCTGATGGCCAGTGATGATGAGCATTTCTTCATGTGTTTTTTGGCTGCATAAATGTCTTCTTTTGAGAAGTGTCTGTTCATGTCCTTCGCCCACTTTTTGATGGGGTTGTTTGTTTTTTTCTTGTAAATTTGAGTTCATTGTAGATTCTGGATATTAGCCCTTTGTCAGATGAGTAGGTTGCGAAAATTTTCTCCCATGTTGTAGGTTGCCTGTTCACTCTGATGGTAGTTTCTTTTGCTGTGCAGAAGCTCTTTAGTTTAATTAGATCCCATTTGTCAATTTTGGCTTTTGTTGCCATTGCTTTTGGTGTTTTGGACATGAAGTCCTTGCCCACGCCTATGTCCTGAATGGTAATGCCTAGGTTTTCTTCTAGGGTTTTTATGGTTTTAGGTCTAACGTTTAAATCTTTAATCCATCTTGAATTGATTTTTGTATAAGGTGTAAGGAAGGGATCCAGTTTCAGCTTTCTACATATGGCTAGCCAGTTTTCCCAGCACCATTTATTAAATAGGGAATCCTTTCCCCATTGCTTGTTTTTCTCAGGTTTGTCAAAGATCAGATAGTTGTAGATATGCGGCATTATTTCTGAGGGCTCTGTTCTGTTCCATTGATCTATATCTCTGTTTTGGTACCAGTACCATGCTGTTTTGGTTACTGTAGCCTTGTAGTATAGTTTGAAGTCAGGTAGTGTGATGCCTCCAGCTTTGTTCTTTTGGCTTAGGATTGACTTGGCAATGCGGGCTCTTTTTTGGTTCCATATGAACTTTAAAGTAGTTTTTTCCAATTCTGTGAAGAAAGTCATTGGTAGCTTGATGGGGATGCCATTGAATCTGTAAATTACCTTGGGCAGTATGGCCATTTTCACGATATTGATTCTTCCTACCCATGAGCATGGAATGTTCTTCCATTTGTTTGTGTCCTCTTTTATTTCCTTGAGCAGTGGTTTGTAGTTCTCCTTGAAGAGGTCCTTCACATCCCTTGTAAGTTGGATTCCTAGGTATTTTATTCTCTTTGAAGCAATTGTGAATGGGAGTTCACCCATGATTTGGCTCTCTGTTTGTCTGTTGTTGGTGTATAAGAATGCTTGTGATTTTTGTACATTGATTTTGTATCCTGAGACTTTGCTGAAGTTGCTTATCAGCTTAAGGAGATTTTGGGCTGAGACGATGGGGTTTTCTAGATAAACAATCATGTCGTCTGCAAACAGGGACAATTTGACTTCCTCTTTTCCTAATTGAATACCATTTATTTCCTTCTCCTGCCTGATTGTCCTGGCCAGAACTTCCAACACTATGTTGAATAGTAGTGGTGAGAGAGGGCATCCCTGTCTTGTGCCAGTTTTCAAAGGGAATGCTTCCAGTTTTTGCCCATTCAGTATGATATTGGCTGTGGGTTTGTCATAGATAGCTCTTATTATTTTGAAATACGTCCCATCAATACCTAATTTATTGAGAGTTTTTAGCATGAAGGGTTGTTGAATTTTGTCAAAGGCTTTTTCTGCATCTATTGAGATATTCATGTGGTTTTTGTCTTTGGCTCTGTTTATATGCTGGATTACATTTATTGATTTGCGTATATTGAACCAGCCTTGCATCCCAGGGATGAAGCCCACTTGATCATGGTGGATAAGCTTTTTGATGTGCTGCTGGATTCGGTTTGCCAGTATTTTATTGAGGATTTTTGCATCAATGTTCATCAAGGATATTGGTCTAAAATTCTCTTTTTTGGTTGTGTCTCTGCCCGGCTTTGGTATCAGAATGATGCTGGCCTCATAAAATGAGTTAGGGAGGATTCCCTCTTTTTCTATTGATTGGAATAGTTTCAGAAGGAATGGTACCAGTTCCTCCTTGTACCTCTGGTAGAATTCGGCTGTGAATCCATCTGGTCCTGGACTCTTTTTGGTTGGTAAACTATTGATTATTGCCACAATTTCAGAGCCTGTTATTGGTCTATTCAGAGATTCAACTTCTTCCTGGTTTAGTCTTGGGAGAGTGTATGTGTCGAGGAATGTATCCATTTCTTCTAGATTTTCTAGTTTATTTGCGTAGAGGTGTTTGTAGTATTCTCTGATGGTAGTTTGTATTTCTGTGGGATCGGTGGTGATATCCCCTTTATCATTTTTTATTGTGTCTATTTGATTCTTCTCTCTTTTTTTCTTTATTAGTCTTGCTAGCGGTCTATCAATTTTGTTGATCCTTTCAAAAAACCAGCTCCTGGATTCATTGATTTTTTGAAGGGTTTTTTTGTGTCTCTATTTCCTTCAGTTCTGCTCTGATTTTAGTTATTTCTTGCCTTCTGCTAGCTTTTGAATGTGTTTGCTCTTGCTTTTCTAGTTCTTTTAATTGTGATGTTAGGGTGTCAATTTTGGATCTTTCCTGCTTTCTCTTGTAGGCATTTAGTGCTATAAATTTCCCTCTACACACTGCTTTGAATGCGTCCCAGAGATTCTGGTATGTGGTGTCTTTGTTCTCGTTGGTTTCAAAGAACATCTTTATTTCTGCCTTCATTTCGTTATGTACCCAGTAGTCATTCAGGAGCAGGTTGTTCAGTTTCCATGTAGTTGAGCGGCTTTGAGTGAGATTCTTAATCCTGAGTTCTAGTTTGATTGCACTGTGGTCTGAGAGATAGTTTGTTATAATTTCTGTTCTTTTACATTTGCTGAGGAGAGCTTTACTTCCAACTATGTGGTCAATTTTGGAATAGGTGTGGTGTGGTGCTGAAAAAAATGTATATTCTGTTGATTTGGGGTGGAGAGTTCTGTAGATGTCTATTAGGTCTGCTTGGTGCAGAGCTGAGTTCAATTCCTGGGTATCCTTGTTGACTTTCTGTCTCGTTGATCTGTCTAATGTTGACAGTGGGGTGTTAAAGTCTCCCATTATTAATGTGTGGGAGTCTAAGCCTCTTTGTAGGTCACTGAGGACTTGCTTTATGAATCTGGGTGCTCCTGTATTGGGTGCATAAATATTTAGGATAGTTAGCTCCTCTTGTTGAATTGATCCCTTTACCATTATGTAATGGCCTTCTTTGTCTCTTTTGATCTTTGTTGGTTTAAAGTCTGTTTTATCAGAGACTAGGATTGCAACCCCTGCCTTTTTTTGTTTTCCATTGGCTTGGTAGATCTTCCTCCATCCTTTTATTTTGAGCCTATGTGTGTCTCCACACGTGAGATGGGTTTCCTGAATACAGCACACTGATGGGTCTTGACTCTTTATCCAACTTGCCAGTCTGTGTCTTTTAATTGCAGAATTTAGTCCATTTATATTTAAAGTTAATATTGTTATGTGTGAATTTGATCCTGTCATTATGATGTTAGCTGGTGATTTTGCTCATTAGTTGATGCAGTTTCTTCCTAGTCTCGATGGTCTTTACATTTTGGCATGATTTTGCAGTGGCTGGTATCGGTTGTTCCTTTCCGTGTTTAGCGCTTCCTTCAGGAGCTCTTTTAGGGCAGGCCTGGTGGTGACAAAATCTCTCAGCATTTGCTTGTCTATAAAGTATTTTATTTCTCCTTCACTTATGAAGCTTAGTTTGGCTGGATATGAAATTCTGGGTTGAAAATTCTTTTCTTTAAGAATGTTGAATATTGGCCCCCACTCTCTTCTGGCTTGTAGGGTTTCTGCTGAGAGATCCGCTGTTAGTCTGATGGGCTTTCCTTTGAGGGTAACCCGACCTTTCTCTCTGGCTGCCCTTAACATTTTTTCCTTCATTTCAACTTTGGTGAATCTGACAATTATGTGTCTTGGAGTTGCTCTTCTCGAGGAGTATGTTTGTGGCGTTCTCTGTATTTCCTGAATCTGAACGTTGGCCTGCCTTGCTAGATTGGGGAAGTTCTCCTGGATAATATCCTGCAGAGTGTTTTCCAACTTGGTTCCATTCTCCACATCACTTTCAGGTACACCAATCAGACGTAGATTTGGTCTTTTCACATAGTCCCATATTTCTTGGAGGCTTTGCTCATTTCTTTTTATTCTTTTTTCTCTAAACTTCCCTTCTCGCTTCATTTCATTCATTTCATCTTCCATTGCTGATACCCTTTCTTCCAGTTGATCGCATCGGCTCCTGAGGCTTCTGCATTCTTCACGTAGTTCTCGAGCCTTGGTTTTCAGCTCCATCAGCTCCTTTAAGCACTTCTCTGTATTGGTTATTCTAGTTATACATTCTTCTAAATTTTTTTCAAAGTTTTCAACTTCTTTGCCTTTGGTTTGAATGTCCTCCCGTAGCTCAGAGTAATTTGATCGTCTGAAGCCTTCTTCTCTCAGCTCGTCAAAATCATTCTCCATCCAGCTTTGTTCTGTTGCTGGTGAGGAACTGCGTTCCTTTGGAGGAGGAGAGGCGCTCTGCGTTTTAGAGTTTCCAGTTTTTCTGTTCTGTTTTTTCCCCATCTTTGTGGTTTTATCTACTTTTGGTCTTTGATGATGGTGATGTACAGATGGGTTTTCGGTGTAGATGTCCTTTCTGGTTGTTAGTTTTCCTTCTAACAGACAGGACCCTCAGCTGCAGGTCTGTTGGAATACCCTGCCGTGTGAGGTGTCAGTGTGCCCCTGCTGGGGGGTGCCTCCCAGTTAGGCTGCTCAGGGGTCAGGGGTCAGGGACCCACTTGAGGAGGCAGTCTGCCCGTTCTCAGATCTCCAGCTGCGTGCTGGGAGAACCACTGCTCTCTTCAAAGCTGTCAGACAGGGACACTTAAGTCTGCAGAGGTTACTGCTGTCTTTTTGTTTGTCTGTGCCCTGCCCCCAGAGGTGGAGCCTACAGAGGCAGGCAGGCCTCCTTGAGCTGTGGTGGGCTCCACCCAGTTCGAGCTTCCCGGCTGCTTTGTTTACCTAAGCAAGCCTGGGCAATGGCGGGCGCCCCTCCCCCAGCCTCGCTGCCGTCTTGCAGTTTGATCTCAGACTGCTGTGCTAGCAATCAGCGAGATTCTGTGGGCGTAGGACCCTCTGAGCCAGGTGTGTGTGGGATATAGTCTCGTGGTGCGCCGTTTCTTAAGCCGGTCTGAAAAGCGCAATATTCGGGTGGGAGTGACCCGATTTTCCAGGTGCGTCCGTCACCCCTTTCTTTGACTCGGAAAGGGAACTCCCTGACCCCTTGCGCTTCCCAGGTGAGGCAATGCCTCGCCCTGCTTCGGCTCGCGCACGGTGCGCTCACACACTGGCCTGCGCCCACTGTCTGGCACTCCCTAGTGAGATGAACCCGGTACCTCAGATGGAAATGCAGAAATCACCCGTCTTCTGCGTCGCTCACGCTGGGAGCTGTAGACAGGAGCTGTTCCTATTCGGCCATCTTGGCTCCTCCTCCACCAGCCTCTTTTTTTTTTAACCTGAATCTACTTTGAAAATCAGTGGAGACTTTTCTATCTTCCTCTTTTACAACTCTCAGAAATATCTAACAAAAATAATCTCTTTCTTCTGGAATTATTATTTTCTCTCAAATTTTGAGAAAACACATTGTGTGTTTTTTTCTACTTAATTTTCCTCTCTGCTTTTTGCCTCTTCTTTATATTCCTATATGGTTCATTCCTAATATTAGAGCAACCTGAAGCTTATTCTTTACCTCTCTTCTTTTTATTCACCATCATGGTTAAAAATGTAGGTTATACAATGGGTATGCGTGGACATAAAGATAGTAATAATAGACACCAGAGACTCCACAAGCAGGGAGCAAGGGAGAGGAGTGAGGGTTGAAAATTATTGGTTAAAATGTTCACTATTTGGATAATGGGGACATTAGAAGCTCAATCCCCACCATTACACAATATACCCATGTAACAAACATGCACATGTACCCCCCGAATCTAAAATAAAATAGCTTTTTAAAATGTGGGCTATAAAATCAGATTGCCTGACTCTCAAACATATATTCACAAATTATTAACACAGTGTCTTTAGGCATGCTATTTAGGCTCTTGGTTTTTCAATTTCTTGAATTGTATAAAATGAAATAGAAACAGTGTCTGCTAAAATGAAGTTGTTGAGATTAGATGAGTTAGTCTAAATAAAATTTAAAATAGTAGATAGCCCCCGTTAATACATTAGTGGGCCATACTATTTTACTCTCTCTCTCTCTATATATATATAGTATATATATGTATAAAAATATATATAGTATATATAAATATATAAATATATATAGTATATATAAATATATAAATACATATATAGTATATATAAATATATAAATATATAGTATATATAAATATATATATTTATATATATAAAATGGTATGTTCATTGTTCTGATTGTTATTATTATAAATGGCACAGGAAAAGTTTGGATGTTTGTTGATTTTATTCCATCCTCAGGTTTGCCATTGAGAGCCAGAGTGGTAACTACCTGACAACTTGATATCTTTGCTTTGATATCGAATAGCAATATGAAACTTAATATGAGTCAACCAAAATTCTTGATTTCTTATACACTTATAACTTTTTCTCCTTTAGTCTTCAGTCTCTTTAAGTAACACCACTTTTCATCTGTTTGCTCAAGTCAATAATATAGGACTTATCAATGAGTTTTCTTTTTCCTATTATTCAGCCATGCATTCATTTATTTATATATTCATTGATTAAAAAATAATTAGTGAGCAGTGACTGTGAACTATTGCTCTCAATCCCAGAAATACAGTAGTAAATACAACAGTTAAGCACTCTGCTAGGCTGGAACTGACATTTAAATAGGGAAATATAAATAATAGGTAGATAAAATATTTGATGGCAATAAGTGCTGTAAGCAGAATGGGAAAATGTTTATGTAAAAGAGAAATGATGGCTCCATGATATTTTGGGATCACAAGGGCCCTCTTAAAGAGATGACATTTAATCTTGGACCTAAATGAGAGAAGAACAGTGAGGAGGAAGAACAAGTTTAGGATGCAGCTTGACTTGTTTGAGGAAAATAAAATAGCTGATATAGCTTTATAGTGGATGATGATGACAGTTGTTTGAGATGAGGCCAAACAGGTAGGCAGGCGATGTATAAACCAGTTTAAGGAGTTTGTAATTCATTCTTTGTGCAATGATAATCCTTGATGGGCTCTAAGCAGGATAATGACATAAACCAATTTGCCTTATAAAAAGATCACACTCCCCCATATCCAATCCAAATTATTACTTTCTTGCTTAAAACCTTTCAATAGCATTAATAATTAATTAATAAGTGAGTGTTTTACCTATAGCATGTACATGATAAATATCAAATGAAAGAATGATTAAACGAGCAAAATAGATTTTATGTCGTTGCGAAGAGGTCTCAGTTCCTTACCACACGAACCTATCCATAGGACTGATGCAGAATCTGGCTCCTCCCGGTGCAGGTGATCCGAGAGAGAGATCAGGGAGGAAATTCAGTGATTCATTTTATAATCTAGTCTCAGAAGTTGTCTGTCACTTCCATCACGTTATATTCATTAGAAATGAGTCCCTAAGTACAGCCCCCTCTGAAGAGGAGTAGAAGTATGTACCAGTTTTGGAAGGGAGAAGTATTAAAGAATTTTGAGATAGAATTTAAAACTACCACAGCCACCTAAATAATTCCTGGCTTTATAAACCTTTACATTATTAAAAAATGTTAACATAGTTGGAGATACATGGCAATGCCTTAAAAGGGAAGAAAGTTAGGATCTATAAGACACTGATGAATTGAACTATTAACTCTGAAATTCAGGAAGAAATTTCTCAGACAACTTAGTCACTGATAAAAGTGACAGAAAAGAGAAGAACTTAGCATTTTATCAGTGTGAGCTACAGAGACATATTTTTTACTATTCATGAGTTTGTATTGTAGCAAAGGAAAAAATTCTAGTAATTAATTGTACTTTAGTGTCATTGAGCAATTTTTACAGGAAATATTTCTTCGAAAATTATTATTAAAAAGACACTGACCCGCCCGGAAGATAGCCAGGTATGATTGCTACAATTGTTTTGAAATGTAGATTCCTTGGCCCACAAAGTGTAATTTCCTGAGGCTGTGAATACATGCTTTGATTTTGGTTTTGTATAATTAAAAACAGCATATTATTGTCCTTTCATTTTAGAATTGTCAGTGGATTTTATTTTATTTTTTACTTTTGACCTGCTAATCTGGTTCAAGGACCAAGAATAAAGCAACTAAATATATGTCTTAGATGCTATCACTGGAACTGTTTCTTTAGATGTCAACAGATATTCAGAGGGCAGGATGACCTTAACCTTGCAATATTGGAACCAGGATTTATAATTGCTTTTAAAATGGTAGTGCAGTTGGCACTTAACTTTCACACAGTATAGAATTGTAATTTATAGCCTTGCTCCAGAATTGCAAAGAAACTGTGATCTGATAACTAAATTCTTGTGGAAAGTACCCAGAAAGGAAGACTAGAGATGTAGGTTACAGAGATGAAAAGACCACTTAGACCTTTTTGATCTTTGTTTCCTTCACTGCAAAATAAGTTAGGGCTTATTGCATTGTAAGACCACCTGGGAGCTCTATAGTTCTGTGATTACTATTTCATGGTAGAAAATATAAAGTGTCATTACCTTGTTTGGTATGAAAATATCAATGATTATTATTCTGTGGTACAAAATATAAAGTATCATTACCTTGCTTGGTAATATTTTTATATCAATGAAAACAGCAAGCTGTAAAATATATAAATTTATTTCCTACACATTCAAATCAGTCTTATATTTATAAGACATTTTTATAAAATGAAGATACCCAGAACATAACTTACATCCATTTTAAAATTCCATGATAAGATCAAGTATGACATCTAAACAAAGGACAGCTTTACAGGTACTATGGTAACCAAAGAAGAATCCATTAAGTATCTGCTGATATGTCTTTATAACATAAAATATTAGCATATTAGACAAGATCAGATGTATTATATGTAATTAATGTTATCATATAATGATTTTCTGGTGAGTGATGACAGTTAATAGCTTTCTGAACATATTATCACGAAATAGATTAGTGCAGGAAGAGTACTAAACTTTTAAAGAGTCAGCTAAGCCATAGTGCTAAGGTATTTACATATATCATCTTAAATTGATTCATAAAATTTTTTTCAGCTGAAATTAAATATTATTAGCTTGGGTAAATTTTTGCTGTAGAGAGAGGGTAAGGAGAGACGGCAGTAATTACTTGCTGTGTGACTGTAAGCTGATCATCTATCATAGGTATTTCACAATGCTTTTTTCTTTGATATTAAGAATTTGGAGTTGTGGATCTCTTCTACAGTTAATAGTTACGAGATTTAAAATCACACCTGGATTTGAGGCCCTGCTCATTCACTTACTATTGTGTAATATGAAGGATGTTAATTAAACTTATTAAACTTTAATTCCTTTTACTTCAAAATGGGAATATATGATATATCTCTCAGGACTGTTTTAAGGATTAAATGAGATACTGAACACAAAATCTCTCACATAGTGTCCAGCATGTAGTAGGGTCTCTGTATATGGAACCACGTCATTATGTTCTCTTTGACATCAATGTTCTCTTTTTATAAATGTTGTTTAAATTTTGCATTATCGGGACTACCAAGATTGAAGCAAACACCTATCTTAGGGTTGCTTTGCTCAGATTAACCTAAATAGAATCAGTAATCAAAATGATTCTTCTATCAGTATACATTGTTAATCATTGTAAATACATTTTATATTTGAATTTTTATAACAGTACTATGAAAGTTCATGAATATGTATGTAGAACTGTTTATATCATGCGGTCCCGTCACTTTGAAACACTGTAATTTGAAGAAGATTTGAGATTATAGGGACAAAATAATATTTAAGATGCAAAATTGATAGTTTGGTTAAGTAAATGCCAAATAATTTCTACTAAAATTGAAACAGCCAATTGCACTAAGAGGATCTATTTATTTTTCCAGAGGTAACATCCCTTTCCTCGCTCATTTTTAATCTATAATTTTAGACTTGTTTCTTGGTGATTGATGCAATGGATTCATGTAATGGACTAAGGCAAACTCTAGAAACTTCACCCACAGGGAATTTGTGTCTAACTGCATGTCATATATAAGCTTTTCCTAGAAAGATCCAATATACGAAGTTAAATATCTTACATTTCATAGTTTGAGGCTCCATTCTGAAATTTCTCTGGTAATGGCAGATCTAGTACATTTCAGATGAAAAGGCATTTGATAAGTGATATTAATAAAATGCAAAAGCTATTTTGCCAACCACAAATGCAAAATAATATGACAGACAGGCAAATTAAATATAATCCTAGTAGTTCATCATTGGATTTTCTTACGTGGTAAGATTCTCCAGTTTCTGAAGAATGTTGAAGTTCTTTCAAGGACCTGCAATAGCAGCCATTGTCAGTTTATTTATGGGCTCTCATTGTCAAGATGCCCACCTGGCTCCATGGATCACCTGATGCTGGCAAAGCTGCCTGGCTGGACATTTATATCATCTGGAGCTCAGGTGAATTTATCCTAAATCAGTGATATGTACACAGGCCACCTGCTATCTTCACAGTAGCTGATAATAGCATTTTAATTTTAATATTAGAAAATGAAAAGGCTACTGGATAGTTTTACTCTTGATGTCTTTTCATGTTCATGTAATGCTATTTAGGCATAATTTATTATGGGAAGACATTAACATTAAAAACATTTCTAGGGTTCACCTTGACAACTCCCCTCAGAAATATTGAGTTATAGAGTGACCACATATCCAGGTGGTCTTGGCCACCCAGTTTAGGTCTTTTGTCAGAGCAAAATTACTAAGTTTCCTTTTTCATCTCCACAGTGTCTTGGTTTGGACAATTAATCCTATAATCTCCTTTACAATGATTTTAAATATCAAAATTCTCTAGACCTGAAACTATAAGAATCCTAGAAGAAAACCTAGTAAAAAAAACTCTTCAGAACATTGATCTAGGAAAACAATTTATGACTAATTCTCAAAAGCAAATGCAGCAAAAAACAAAAATAAACAAATGTGACTTAATTAAATCAAAAAGCTTCTGCACAGCAAAAGAAAAAAATCAACAGGGTAAAAGACCACTTACAAAATAGGAAAAAAGTTTGCAAATTGCACATCCAACAAAAAACTAACATCCAGAATCTACAAGAAACTCAAACAACTCAAAAGTAAAGAAACAAATAACCCCATTAAAAAGTGGGCAAAGGACAGAAAAGACATTTCTTAAAAAAAGACATATAAGCGGCAACAAACATGAAAAAATGTTCAACATCACTCATCATTTGAGAAATGCAAAATAAAACCACAATAAGATAGCATTTTACACCAGTCAGAATGTCTATTACTAAGAAGACAAAAAAAAAATAACAGATGCTGGCGAGGATAAGGAGAAAAGGGAATGTTTATACGCTGTTTGTGGGAATGTTAATTATGGAAACCTGTATGGAAACTCTACAGAAAGCTGTATGGAGATTTCTCAAAGAACTAAAAATAGAACTACAATTTGATCCAGGAATTTCACTACTGTGTATCTACCCAAAGGAAAAAAAAATCCTTGTGTCAAAAAGTCACCTGTACTTGCTTGTTTATTGCGGCACTATTCACAATTGCAATGTCATGGAATAAACCTAAGTGTCCATCAACAAATGATTGGATCAAAAAGACACCTGTATTTGCTTGTTTGTTGCAGCACTAATCACAATTGCAAAGTCATGGAATCAACCTAAGTGTCCATCAACAGATGATTGGATAAAGAAAATGTGGTATATGGCCTGGCATGGTGTCTCATGCCTGTAATCCCAGCACTTTGGGAGACTGAGTCAGGAGGGTCTCTTGAGGCCAGGAGTTCGAGACCAGCCTGGGCAACATGGTGAAACTCCGACTCTACAAAAAAATACAAAAATTATTCAGATATGGTAGCATTTGCCTGTAGTTCCAGCTACTCAGGAGTCTGAGGTGGGAGGATAGCTGGAACCCAGGAGGCAGAGGTTGCAGTGAGTCGAAATCTGTCACTTCACTCCAGCCTGGATGATGGAGTGAGACCCTGTCTGAAGAAAATAAGAAAGAAAGAAAGAAAAAAGGAAAGAAAGAAGAAAAGAAAAGGAAAGAAATGTGGTATATATGCATCATGGAATACTATGCAGCCATAAAAAGAATGAAATCAGGTATTTTGCAGCAACATGGATGGAACTGGAGTGAAATAACTCAGAAACAAATCCACTATGTTTTCATTTATAAGTGGAAGCTGAACAATGGATACACATAGACATGCAGACAAAAAATAAAATAAACACTGAGGACTCCAAAAGTGGGGAGAGTGGTTGGAGGGTGAGGATTGAAAAATTACCTGTTGGGTACAATGTACACGATTTGGGTGATGGGTACACTAGAAGCCCAAGCTCCACCACTACACAATATAAATATCCATGTAACAAACCTGAACTTGTACCCCCTAAATCTACAAAAATAAAATAATAATAATTTTAAAAAATTCTACTCTTTTCTACGTTCAAGCACTAAATTCAGAATTAGATAAATAAGCTTCTGAAGTGTGGCTAAAACATAGTCTGATAACTGTAAACCAAAAAGTGACTCAGGCAGGTATCAATCGATTAGAGGCCGATTTAGCTAAGGTTAAGGACACACCTAGGAAAAAGAAACACAAATCACAGGAGGATCTGTGGCCTGTGCTTTTTCCAAAGAGAGTTTTGGAAACTTCAAAATTTAAAGGGGAAAGGGCAAGCAGGAGAGGGAGGATTTAAAAAGGGGAGTGAGGGTAGGCAGTGAGGCCAGTGTTTACATTCTTGTGAGGCTCTGATTAGTGCTCAGTGAATCTATATTTTACATGTGAAATAGGGAGGAGAGGAAAAAGCCAATTATGCACTCAGTACACGTACATTTTACATCAGATAAACATGCGAAAAGAGGGAATAGAGGAAAAAAAGTCATTTATGCATTCACTTCAAGGTAGGCAGAGGGATGAATTCTAGTCTTGTTCTTGTCCTATACCTGTGAGGATAACCCGGTAACTGACGTTGCTGGGTGATATTTAACAGAACTTGGTTTTAGTGCTAGCTTATCGGAAGGATAGGTATCCTGAATGATTTTGAGAACCACAAGAATTTCCTTGTGAGCAATTTGTGAAGGAGGCCACCCTGGGGAGATATGTAGCCTTCTAGCACTCTGGGAACCTGGCTTATGTATAAGGCTATGACACAGGGTTGTGAAATTGTAGCTATCTATTTGGGAAAAAAAGAGACACTTTTGTGTGACTCCATTCCCAAGCTTAACTGTCCCTTTGGTATAGTGAGTTTGAAGTGCCAAGGTTCTAATTTCTGACACATGATCTAGGAACAATCTTTCTCAATAACTTAGTAGATATTGATAGAGTCCGGTAGTAAAATAAATTGATTGAAATTTATGACCAATAAATGTTGAGGCAGGTGGAAGTAAAGAATCAATGAGACAATGTTAGAAGCTCCTGTTATCAATAAGTGGCTTATTGTCAAAAGAACCTATTGAGTGGCATAATGAAGAGAACTGAAATAGGAAGTTAAGAGGTCAGGGCCAGGTGCGGTGGCTCATGCCTGTAATCCCAGCATTTTGGGAGGCCAAGGCAGGTGGATCACCTGAGGTCAGGAGTTTGAGACGAGCCTGGCCAAGATGGTGAAACCCTGTCTCTACTAAAAATACCAAAAAAAAAACTCCATATATATATATATATATATATATAGCCAGGCATGGTGGCAGGCATCTGTAATCCCAGCTACTCAGGAGGCTGAGGCAAGAGAATCGCTTGAACCCAGGAGGTGGAGGTTGCAGTGAGCCAAGATCACGCCACTGCACTCCAGCCTGGGCAACTGAGCGAAACTCCATCTCAGAAAAAAAAAAAAAAAAAAAAAAGGTTAGGAGAGCACGGACTCCAATGAATGCGGCTGAATGAGTGGCAGGTAAGAAGGAAAATTTGTTCTGTTGTGAAAAACTTGGAGCTGTTTTGTTGAAAAAAAAATTGTATTAACAACTCTCATCAGTAACAGAAACAGAGAATAAGACTTTCAGGAAGAAACTTTTAGTAACACCAATAATTCCTTGTCAAAAATATCTTGGGCTTCCCATTTAAAAGCTATATCTCTGTTATGAAGATGGAAAGGTAATGTTTGAACCATCAACAAATCTTTTTTTTAAGAAAGCTCACTTAGCAATTTTTCTTGCTTTCTTATAAGAAGAATTGAATCATTTATAACTCTCAGAAAAAAATTAGTAAAATAGCATTCTGTTTAATATATATGGAAGACTAGAAAAAAATCAGTTTCTTGTAAATTTAGTCATTGTGAGGACATCCCTAAATTTAAGTTACCATGAGACATGATCACACTCTGCAGAATGCTTCATTTTATGATTTTTTGTTTTTTTACCTTTTATTTTAAATTCAGGGCTCTATGCGCAGGTTTGTTACATAGGTAAACTTGTGTCATGGAGTTTGTTGTACAGATCATTTCACCACCTAGGTATTCAGCCTAGTACCCATTAGTTATTTTTCCTGATCCTCTCTCACTTCCGTTATCATTTTCAAAAAATATTACTTACCCACTATCATGAAGTCAATAGGTGGCAAGTGAGATAAGTATATTTCCAAATGCATGTATGCAAATACTGAAATTTGAAAGGTATTACATTAGATATTCAAACCATAGACTAGGTCAGTAGTAATGTAGAGAGAGAGTAGAATATAGGTTTTCCAAATGCTTGCTTGTTACTCAGCATTTATCAGCTTCAACATTTTATTTATTTTATTTTATTTTTATTTTTTGGGACTGAGTCTCACTCTATCAGCCAGGCTGGAGTGTGGTGGCACAATCTAGGCTCACTGCAACCTTCACCTCCCAGGTTCAAGGGATTCTCCTGCCTCAGCCTCCCAAGTAGCTGGGATAACAGGTGTGCACCACTATGCCTGGCTAATTTTTGTATTTTCAGTAGAGACGGGGTTTTCCCATGTTGGCCAGGCTGATCTTGAACTCCTGACCTCAAGTGATCCAGCCACCTCGGCCTTCCAAAGTGCTGGGATTACAGGCATGAGCCACTGCGCCCGGCCAGCATACACATTTTAAAGCTGCAGATAAAATCATAGAAAAATTGTGTACTTACATAATTTCAGAGGAAACATAAAAGTATTCAAGCAAACCAGTATGATTTCATTAAAAATAAACACTATGGTTTTGTCTTGGTATTTACAAGGCAGTCAAAATCATTAACTTGAGATAACATTATTTTCAGTTGACATTAAACATCTTAGGCCTATTTTAGATAACATTTAAATACTAGACTTAGTTTAACATTTGGGAACATCTTTCAATGAATGAATATTTTTTCATCTTTGAGCACTCTTAAGTGTAACCTGATTTTTATTTTCTTTGCAAAGGTAATTATTCATGCAATAAAAATTCAAAAGGGGTGAAAAGAAAGGAAGTAAAACTAAGCATTCTCTCGCCTTAGCCCCCACAGAACCTAATTTTTCTCCCTAGAAGCATCCACCATTACTAGATTTTTTTGTAAATTCCTCTTCCAATTTATTGTTTGAGATTATGTACATACGCACACATATACAATTTTTATTTTTATTTTTTTATTTTTTTATTTTTTTATTTTTTTGAGATGGAGTCTCGCTCTTGTTGCCCAGGCTGGAGTGCAGTGGCGTGATCTCGGCTCACTGCAACTTCTGCCTCCCAGGTTCAAGCGATTCTCTTGCCTCAGCCTCCTGAGTAGCTGTGATTACAGGCGCCTGCCACCATGCCCTGCTAAGTTTTGTACTTTTAGTAGAGACGGGGTTTCGCCATGTTGGCCAGGCTGGTCTCCAACTCTTGACCTCAGGTGATCCGCCCACCTCGGCCTCCTAAAGTGCTAGGATTACAGGCGTGAGCCACCATGCTCGGCCAATTTTTATTGTTTTTACACAGAAAGTTATTATACATTGCATATTACTTTATCTGTTGCTTTTTAAAAAAATTTCTGGCCAGGCGCAGTGGTTCACGCCTGTAATCCCAGCACTTTGGGAGGCCGAGGTGGGCAGATCACAAGGTCAGGAGATCGAGACCATCCTGGCTAACACGGTGAAACCCCGTCTCCACTAAAAATACAAAAATTAGCCGGGCGTGGTGGCAGGCGCCTGTAGTCCCAGCTACTTGGGAGGCTGAGGCAGGAGAATGGCGTGAACCCCGGGGGTGGAGCTTGCAGTGAGCCAAGATCACGCCACTGCACTCCAGCCTGGGTGACAGAGCGAGACTCCGTCTCAAAAAAAAAGAAAAAAAAAGTTCTTACATAGAATAGCATTTTATTTTTTTATCACTTTAAATACAACTGCCATACTCTTTTTTAGTTGTGCATAGTATTCCACCAGAACATGATTGATAAGAAGCTGCCTCAGTTAATAAACATGTATATTATTTTCAATGCTGTCCTGAGTTTCCTGGCACACCTGTTATGTTGCTTGGATTTGCAGAAGCTAAATAACTGGCAGTAGAATATCTAGGTGAAAGGATATGTGAATTTAAAATTTTTATAAATATTGTAACTGCAATAGACAGTATTTCAGCTTATGTTTTCTTCAGGTGGGTGTAGACATAGAAAAAGTGCCTCTTTCCCCTACCGTTGCCCACAACATGTAGAATCAAAACTTTAGATCTTTGCCCATGAGGTAGGTTAAAACAATACATATTTGAGGTTAAAATTTACATTTTCCTTAGATTAATCTTGTCATTTTATTGTGTTTGAGATCCAATTTCTATGAAATGTCAATATGTCTTTCCCTGGAAAAAAGAGAATCCTAGAGCCTTCAATAGTTGTATTCCCCTTTGTCATTTATTGAATAATCATTTCCAACTTTCCCTGTGGGTAGATGGCTAAATTTTCACAGAAGGGATGCAAAGAGAAACGTGTGTGACCTCTCAGTTGTTTTTTGAAAAGGGATATCTCTTCTCACTGCCTTATCTTTTTGATACTGACTAATATTTGTACAACATGGAGGAAGACAGACCAGCTATTTTAAGCCTTGAATAGAAATCATATTTTTTGGAAGACCAGACAACAGTAGAAGGCCTGGCCTGCTTATACACACATGATTTTATGACACACACACACGAAACTAATTTTAAAAGCTGTCTTGTTTTAGCTATTGTTATTTTGACATTTGTTACAGAAGCTTCATCTATATCTTAACTAATATATAAAAATGATATTGAGTAATTGGTATTTTTCCTGTTGATTTGTAGATGCTACCACATGCAAAAAATGAGAGAATCATTCATGCAAAATGTTATTCTCCAATTTAGTGTTTGTTCTTTGACATTCTTCATAATTTTTTTCAAAGAAACTGATTGTTTTCTTTTTGGCTTTGTGTTGTCAAATTTATCATAAATGCTTCCTTAAAGGAATCTAGATTTTGAGTCATTCTAAAACAATTCTCCTCCCCACTGAATGCCACTGAATGCCTATTTATTGCTTAAAAATATTTTAAAAGTCATCTTGACATTTTCTTCACACTGCACTCAAAGATCAATGCTAGATGGATTACAGACAAAACTGATAAGTAAAACATAAAAGTTTTAGAAGAAAACATAGGAAAATAACTTTTGACAGTAAAGTATGAAATTTTTAATAAGAAATTAAAAGCACTAACCCAAAGTAAAAAAAAACAAACAAAATAAATTAGACACTATTAAGATTAAGGATTTCCATTCATCAGAAAAAGTGAGTAAAAGAGATAAGCACAAATCAGGAGAAGATATTTGCATATTTTTGGAAAGGTACTCATATACTTAATGTCTAAAGATCTAAAGAGCTTCTAAAAGTTAGTAAGATAAAGACAGACAACCCAACAAATAAATGGACAAAAGACATTAACAGTCACTTAAGAGAGAATTATCAAATGGGAAATAAGTGCATGAAAACATGCTCACCATCGTTACTCATCAAGGAAGTACAAATTAAAGCCACAGTGAGATACTATCATCCATCCATCAAAATATCTAATGTTTTAAAATACTGACAATATAAAAATGTAGGAGAGGATATTAAACAAATGAAATCCTCAAAAATTGCTTATAGGAATATAAACTGGAAAACAATTTGGCACTGCCACTGCTTCTAATGGGCCATCTTCAATATTTTATCTATTAAAGAGTTATTGTTAACACTAAATTTTAAAAGATGAGGAAACAGGTTATTTCACTACATTTTTCACTCTTCATTCCCCTTTAGTTATTTTTTGTAGTTATAGCACGTCTACATTTTCTGAGATTTTAACATATGCTTTCTCTTTAACATTTGCTTTACTCCTAGTTCTGTAGTACGGCCTACAGCATCACTCCCTGTTTTTTTCCTGGACTAGGCCTCGAGGACTAATGCTGGGTTGTAGCCAATAGAATGTGCCAGAGATATTTCAGTTTGATTTTTGTTTTTTAATGATTAGTATCTGTTTTGATTAGCCACAAAATCTGTTCCAATTGGTTAATTCCTGAGGCGTTCTTTTTATTAAATATTTTCAAAATAATCCCAGCCAATGACCTTGTCCAGCCTTTATTACTTAGGGTAATTCTTCCCTGCATTATATAGTTTGGAATCATGGATTTCACGGTCGTCTGAAATGGTAGTTATGTTTTTGTCATTCATTCTTCTTCTTGTTCTTGGACAATTCCTGAGATAAGAGGAGAAAAATTCAAAACATTATATAATCCATCACGTTTCAATCAGAATTCCTAGATATGATTTCATGAAATTTATTTCTAGATAAGACAAAAATGGAAATGGTTTTATTCTCCCTGTGTTTTACAGTCTATAAAAGTCAATGTTGGTAATATATTAACTATTTTCCCATATAACCAGAGACAGTTGTATGGGAAATACAGTACATGCAATTTAATACAATTGTGCAGTAATAAGATTCAATTCAGTAACTAAATAAAATACCCCTTTTCAACCTCTACTAAGATGCATATCTTTCAAACTTCCAAAAAGATAAAGGCTATGCTCATTATCACTATCCTATGCTATTCCTGATCACTTCAGCCAAGTTGGTGTCCCTTCCTCTGAATTTTATTCATACTTGCCTTTACTACCCATTTGTAACTTTATTATTTTGGCTAGAAATCAGTTTACTTGCTCAATCTTTTTTTTTTTTTGTCTTTCAAAAAGTTCAGGGGAAAAAGTTACTCCCATAAAAGAGTTGAGAGTTGGCTTAAGGAACCTGCCCTGTGTAAGCTGATGAGGAATAAACATTTTACATGCATTTCTTGTGATGGCAGTATAAAGTGACAAACAATTACTTCTTATTCTATTAGTATTAATGTGGAGGAGGAGAAAATAGTTACTCTGCCTTGCACTGCACCTTGCTAGGTTCCAGAACCTGTCTTTCCATGGGATTTCCCTTACAAAAGGTGAGAAATGGGAAGTGGGGCAAGGTGGCTATTCCCAGCCATGAGGGCAGTGGAGGAGAGAGACACTCAAAAAGAGGTAGTAGAAATGAGGCATGACTGAGGTCCAAGTTTCAGGGATTGTTTCTCAGAGACTACATTTACTGTATTAATGTAATTTTCTGATAATTAAATAAGGAAATAACCATAATCCTTTGACCCTTTTTTGTGCCTATAGATGCTATACAAAGAATAGACCTGTTGAATTATGAAGTAAATTTTATTCATACGTTTGTAAATAAATTGCTTGAAACACTTTTCTGTGTTAACATAGATGGCAGTATTTAATGAATATTGCCAATTTCTGAAATTCATGTGAGAATTCATTTCTGATTCATTTTAAAACATCATAAACATATGTGTATTTATTACAAATGTTAATCAATTGTTTTACACCACTCACTGTAGTAATTAAAAATTTGATAAAACCTACCCAAGCTTTATCATTTGAAAATTAAATTATTCTGACTCTATTAAATAAAATTTATTGTGCATTGTGGTCAAATTAGAATTTTCTTAGTAATGCTAATATCAGAAATTATCAGTCAAATATTACTAAATTAATTATTAGGAGCCTCATTTAACACATTTTATAACATCTAAAATCTACCAATACATCTGAAAAATGGAGAAAAATTATAAACAAAAATAAATAGAACATTTTCTGTAATCATATTTAATAGCTACATTGTTTACATTTTATTGTATCTACATTTGTGATACTAGAGATTAGTATTAGATATTAATATCTAGAATACTAGATATTAGTATTAGATATTAATATCTAGAATACTAGATATTAGAAATATCCCATACATCTAGTTTTAATTGAAGTATAGTTCATTTGAAGCATAGTCTCAATAATTTGAACTTGAACATTTAACTACAAGCATAGTCAGTTTCAGAATTCATTCTTTGTAGACAGTCTATAAATACAAATATATCTCCCTCTGTCTGGCGCGGTGGATCATGCCTGTAATCCCAGCACTTTGGGAGGCTGAGGCGGGTGGATCACTTGAGGTCAGGAGTTTGAGACCAGCCTGGCCAACATGTTGAAACTCCATATCTACTAAAAATACAGAAATTAGCTGAGCACAGTGGTGCGTGCCTGTAATCCCAGCTACTTGGGAGGCTGAGGCACGAGAATTGCTTGAACCAAGGAGGCAGAGGTTTCAGTGAGCTGAGATCACACCACTGCACTCCAGCCTGGGCGACAGAGTGAGATTTTGTCTCAAAAAAATGTGTACATATATATATATATATATATATATATATATATATATATATCCCTCAAATTTAGCAAAAATCGTACATTAAAAAATGCCAATATCTGCCACTTCAGAGTCTAATGGTTGACTCTTCACTGCTACTGTCATTGTCCATTCCATGCATACTACCCAGTGGACTGAGGACCTGCCCACTTACCTAGCCCATCACTGTTACTACTAACAACTAAGTAATCTGCCTGGAGGCCCAATAATTGGCCCGTTTGAACCCACTAACAGTCATGTCTGCATACACCACCAGGAAGTCCAAGGACAGACACATTCAGCCCAGTACTGCTACCACTGGGGTCTAGGGACTGGTATCCTTGTCTGTGGCAAAGCCTCACCACAGCCTCCATTAACAACCACAGCCTATGTCACTAAGGGAATCACAGACAAAGCTGATATTTTTTACAGCTAAAGAACTCATATGGAGACTATGCTACTGCATGAACCCAGAATTAAAGCTGGTATGTTCTTCCTTGTTAACCAACACAATAGATATATCTTCAGGAAGATGTCTTTCCCCATATAAGCCAGTCCAATAAATTGGAAGTGACTATTAAACCAGTGCACGGATATTAATAAGAGAGCACAAGAAACCTGAAAAAATACTATATGATACGTCCAAAGAAACATAATTATTCCCCAGTAACAGATGTCAATTTAAAAAAGCTTATAAAAGGCTGAAAAAATTCAAAAAATGGTATTAAAATTCAGCAATTAAAGAATCTCAGTGAGATGCAGGAGAACTCAGATAAACAATACTAAATAATCAGAAAAACAATTCAAGATGTGAGTGAGAAGTTCACCACAAAAATAGATATTTTAAAAAGACACAAATCTTAGAACCAAATAATTCAATGAATAAAATAAAAACTTTATTTGAGAGCTTCAGTGATAAACTAGAGAAAAAAAAAGTGTCCCAAAACTTGAAGACTGATCTTTAAAAATAGCCCCAAAATAAAAACCGTCAGACCAAAAATAATAAATAAATAAAACAATAAAAAAAACCTTACTTGACATGTGGGATATGATAAAGTGACCAAATATACAAATATTGAGTGTTGAAAACAGGAAGATGAGACCAAATCATAGAAAACCTATTTAACACAATAGTTTTATAAACCTAAGCATAATAGGTTTATAAGCCTAAATAAATAATAGCTGGAAAGTTCCAAAATTTAGCAAGAGATTTAGACATCCAGATATAGGAAGTTTAGAGAAATCCAAACAAATGCAACCTAGTAAGTTTTTCTCCATGACACATTACAGTAAAACTATCAAAAGTCAAAGACAAAGATAGAATTCTAATAAAAACAAGAGAATAATATCTAGTCACATATAATGGATCCCCCATTATAGCCAGAAAACAATCAACAAATTACAAGAGTAAGTCCTCACATATCAATAATAACCTTGAATGTAAATTGATTAAATTTTCCACTGACAAAATGTAGACTACCTGAATGGATTATTAAAATGACCCAATTATATGCTGCCTACAAGAAACTCACTTCACCTGTAAAGACACATATCAACTCAAAGTAAAAGGGTTGAAAAAGGTAGACTGTCTATCGTGGGAATTCACCTTGTCATTATGTGAGCCAATTCTCCCTAATAAACTTATATAGATAGATAGATTAGATAGATAGATAGACAGATATGTATCTCCAATTGGTTCTGTCCTTCTGGAGAACACTGACTAATACATAAACTAATGAATCAGACTAGAGAATCCGAAAATGAATTCACGAATTTACCACCAATTGATTTTCAACGAAGTTCCAAAAATATATATTTAGAAATGGACACCCTCTTCAATAAATGGTACCAAGAAAACTGGATATCCATATGCAGAAAAATGAAACTAGACCCGTATCTCTCACTATACACAAAAATAAACTCAAAATAGATTAAAGGCCTAAACATAAGACCCAAAACTATAAAACTAATGGAATAAAACAGAAGAAACACTATAAGATATTGGCCTAGGCAAAGATTTTATGGCTAAGACCCCAAAAGGACAGACAACAGAAACAAAACTGAATACATAGGACTATATTAAACTGTGAGGCTCTGCAGAGTAAAATAAACAATCAAAAGAATGAAGAGACAACTTATTGAATGGGAAAATACTTGCAAACTATTCATCTGACAAATGAATAATATTCAGAATATAAGAGGAACTTAAACAACTCAACAGCAATAAAACTATAATCCAATTTAAAAATGGGCAAAAAATATCTATAGACATTTTCCAAAAGAAGACATACAAATAACCAACAAGTATATGGAAAAAATGCTCAATATCACAGATCATCAGAGAAACACAAATCAAGACCACCATGAGATACTATCTTATCATAGTTAGAATAGCCATTATTAAAAAGGCAAAAGAAAATAGATGCTGGGAATGATGTGAAGAAAAGGGAACTCTTATACACAGTTGCTGTGGGATATGGTTCGGCTGTGTCCTTACTGGAATCTCATCTTGAATTGCAGTTCCCATAATCCCCACGTGTTATGGGAGGACGAGGTGGGAGGTAATTGAATCATGAGGGCTGTTACCACCATGCTGCTCTTCTCCTGATAGTGAGTGAATTCTCACGAGATCTGATGGTTTTATAAGGGGCTTTTCCCCCTTTTGCTCGGCACTTCTCCTCGCTGTTGCCATATGAAGAAAGACGTGTTAAGTTCCCCTTCTACTATGATTGTAAGTTCCCTGAGACCTCTTCAGCCATGCTGAACTGTGAGTCAATTAAACCTCTTTGCTTTATAAATTACCCAGTCTCAGGTATGTCTTTATTAGTAGTGTGCGAATGGACTAATACAATGGGGTAGGGAGATTTCTGAAAAAACTAAAAATAGAACTACCATACAATCCAGCAGTGCCTCTACTGGGTATCTATCCAAAGGAAAATACATCAGTGTATCAAAGGCATATCGGCACCCCCGTGTTTATGAAGCATTATTGACAATGGCAAAGATAAGGAATCAATCTAAGTGTCCATCGACAGATGAATGGATAAAGAAAATGTGGTATATATGCACAACGGAATGCTACTAGGTCCTAAAAAGAATAAAAACCTGTCATTTGCAGCAGCATGGATAGAATTGGAGGCCATTATGTTAAGCCAAACACAGAAAGAAAAATATTGGGTCTTCTCATTCATATGTAGGAGCTAAAAAAAAATGATCTCATGGAGGTAGGGTGGAGTGATAGTTACCTGAGGATAGGAAGATTGTGTGTGGGGGAGGCAAGAAGGAGTGATGAAGAGAGGTTGGCTAATTGATACAGACATAGAGTTAAATAGAAAAAAGTACATTCCAATATTAAATAGAAGACTAGGATGATTGTTGTTAATAAAACTTGAATATTGTATATTTCATAATAGCTAGAAGAAAGGATTGAAATGTTCCCAACACATAAATATGATAAATACTCAAGGTGATATATACCCTAAATACCTTGACTTGATCATTACACATTCTATACATGTAACAAAATATCATTTGTACCCCCATAAGTATGTAGGATTATTATAGATCAATACAATTTTTTTAAAAATGTCACCTAAATTTTTAAATGTCATGTTTAAACATTTTCAGTTAGAAAGTTTAATAAGATTAATAATGATGAGGAGCATGGTTGATTGCTTTATCAAAATCCACTTGATTCGATAAAGTTTTGAACTCTATTCTGTTTTACAAAATGAAGGGAAGCTAAAGTAATCCACGCACTTCCTTCAACATTCTGGGTTACCAATAATTCAGTCCTCAGTATCTCCTGGTAACAATAAATTCAGGAGGACAAATATCACTTTCCTTCCTTCAATGTTTTGTACATTTGCTTTGTTTCTCACACTTTCAAAACCATTTTTTTAATCCTTTCCAAAACATGCTGACCTAATAAAGTTACTTCTTACTCAGTGAGAATATTAAAACTATTACGTGAGAAAAAAACGTCTTCCAAAAAAGCAATCAGCAAAACCTGTTTAAAATAATGATACGGTCTTCCTTTGCTCTTGCTACATACAGTTCATTAACTGTCATTTCTTCTCCAGTAAATGCAGGCACCCTATGCATACACTAGATGCTATTCATCTTGTTTACTGTAGAATTTTGTTCCAACAATTATCTGCTTCTTCTCATATACCATTCATTTTGTTTTTCCCTCTGTTGGATCCTTCCCATCAACATACACATAGATTGAATTCAATTTCTTCTTTATTATACACAGAAACCAAATAAACAAACAAAAAAAAATTGACTACATCTTCATTCCGATTTTTATTTTTGTTTTTCATTCCTGATAGTAGACATCCACCCATGAACGAAATAGAAAAACTTGTTCTCAGATACTTTACATTTTACTAAAATAATAGGATATTAAATAACTTCTTTGGTTTAGAAAATAAACAGCATTTATAATTATAGACTCTAAGTAGACACTTCAACAAAATGATTATAATTAACAACTAATTGGATGCCAAGAACTATGTTAAAAATTTGAATGTTTGTTAATGTATGGAGTCTTTCATTTTGAATATCTTAAATGTCAGTACCAATCATTATTGTTAAGTTTATCCTGGACTATTCTGCATTGATAATTAAGAAAGCTGAAGTGAGATGTCCATGAAGGTGCTTTTGTAAATGAAAAAAATAATAAATTCTGTAGTTACTTTGGTTTTAAAGGTAAATATACAATTTGTTATATTTATAAAAGCAAAATGATTCTGGTTTATCTTTCAAGTTATACTTAACAGCTTTAAAAATTTTGTTTATAAACATAGAAAAATCTAATAGTGACTTCTAATGTAGCTTCTAAAGATTAATTACATTATCCAAAAGTTTAATACCGAACAAATTTTAAAATTTGCCTTTTTGCCATACTTTTATATTCTACCAAAAAAGAATTGAATGCCTTAATATCATAACTTGGAAAAATCAATTAAATTTATTAATATAGTCAATATATAATTGAATTAAATGTTTAAGTATTATTAATTTAGTAAGATTGTGTTTTAAAATCACGTATAAAATTAATTACATAATTACATATTTTAAATTAAAATCTAATAATTTTTCTGATGGGGAAATATTCATTAAATAGGTTATTTACATATAAAATATATGAGTTACTTATTATGGTATCAAAATATTCATTTTGTGTGTTTATTTATCTTAAAAGCCCTTTATGAACTTTTAAATCTTCCCTAATTTAAAAGTTAATAATCAATATTTACTTCTATTACTGATAGTCCATGTTAATCAAATAAGTTATATAAGTATACCTAGAACAACTGAAAAAGCTGCACCTAATATAAAAATCTGCTTTAATGCATCAGAGAACCAGCAAAATAGGGAGAAATGACCAAGCCCCAATCCATAAGAAACAGAATCCAGAGAGCTGAGCCTGTTCTTTGGAGACACATGCTGTCTGTACATATCTGCTCATTGCAGGTTTTGCAGCTGACAGAAGAGTAGCATTTCTGAGATCAAAGTGAGAATCTAGGGCCCACTTGGACATTTTCAGGACACAAAAACAATTTACAGTCTGATCATATACTGAAGCATAAAGCAGATTTCAACTTACTTAAGAAGATTAATATCAGAATGCATTCTCTGAACATACACAATAAAGGTAGAAATCAATAACAAAAGCACGCAGTCAATTCTTGTTATGCATGGTAGTTATGTTCTGTAAAGTTTCAGTGAACACTTAATTAGTGAATACTGAACCATTGCTCCTAGGGAAAATATTATACAAGGTTAGCTTCCCGTAAGCCTCTGCTTATAACATTTTATTAATCAATAAATACATAACCTTATTTTATGTGCATTTCTGTTTAAAGATACTTTATTAAGTATATATTGTTGATTCATTAACATTGAACTCATGGCCAAAAGTACTATAATTTATGCCTGAATGAAGCTTATGTAACAAGCGTATCTTCTCAGTAAGACCCATGATGTCTTCTTGTACTTAGAAATACTAGACAATATGTCAGCATTATGCTTGGTGTACATCTTAAATAGTGAAATGACCAGCAAAACCAACAATAATGTACAAAGAATTTCGCTAAAAAAAGTTGCAATGGGACACTTGTTTATAGTGTGAGAGCCAAAACAAGAAGGCGGATGTCCCCTTGTTTAACCTCAGTTGAGAATAGGTATCATTCAAATGTTTTTCCTTTCTCTATGCGTTCACAAATGACAGCAAAAGCACCCCAAGTGTTGCTTTGGGGGTTACAAATAAACTGTAGTGAATAGGTGAATGTGAAAATATGGAATCCCTGAATAGTGAGAATCAACTATAATTTAAGCATTCAACATACTGGGAAATTAAAAACATATTCCAAATTTATGAGTCATAGAATATTTCAAAATGGAAAATAAAATAATTTTGAACTGTAATAAAATAATATTGGTATATCGAAGTGTGGAAATGCAGGAAACTAAAGCAAGCTTAAGGAGAAATGTGTTTGCTTATATTTACATATTAGAAGAAATAATAATAAGCTAAGTAGTAATCTCAATACATTTTTTAAAAACCCAAAATAATCCCAAAGAAATTAGAGAGATAAAATAACATGTGCAAGAATAAGTATAAGTGAACAGAAAACTAATATAAAATAGAAAAGGTAAATAAAGTTAACATTTTGTTCTTTGAAAAAAATTAAGAATAAACACTTGCTAATACTGATCAAGATAAAAAATAAGAAGATACAGAATAATGTTTATTCATTTTAAAAGTAAAATAGTTTTTTAGCAACCCATGTCACAAATAAAAATAGAGTATTACTATAGATCCTGGGAATATTACACAGATATGAGAATATTATAAAATGTATATAAGTTTTTGCTATTAAGATAAAACAGACAAATTCCCAGGAAAATACCACCTACCCAAAGTGATCTAAAATCAAAGATAAATTCTAAATAATCCTATAACCACTAAAATAATTAAACTGATAATTAAAAATCTACAAGCCCAGATGGCTTCACAAGACAATTTTGCCAAACTTATAAACAGGAAATAATACTAAACACAAACAAATTCTTTCAAAGAATGGTCATTGAAGCATTCAACTTACCTATGAGACCAGTATATCAAAATCAATTAATAACATTACCTTTAAAAAATTGCAGTTTAATCTCATTTACGAGCACAGGTACTAAATGCTAAACGTAATACTAGAAAATCAAAACCACCAATATAAACAATGGGCAGCATATTATGCTGAATTTTGCTTAGTTCCAAAAATATAAAGATACATTCAATATTGGAACAATTGTCATGTTCTTTGCCACATTAAAGTAATAAATGGCAGCAATTGTATGTTTATTTCAGATATACAGAGGAGCACTTGACATAATTCAACATCAATAAAAGATAAAAACTCTAAGCAAATAAATAATAAACGGGAATTTTTTTATTTGATAATAGTATCCACAAAAATTTATAGAAAATATCACAACTAATGATTAACTTTCAGAGCCATCGCCCTGAGATTGGGTATGAGATAAAGATTTCTGTGAGAACCATTTCTTGTCTTCATTTTACTGGAAGGCCTAATCACTTCAACAAGGCATAGAAAGAAAATAAAAGCTTTGGCCAGGCAAGGTGGCTCACGCCTGTAATCCCAGGACTTTGAAAGACCGAGGCAGGCGAATGCCCTGAGTTTAGGAGTTTGAGACCGCCCTGGACAACACGGTGAAATCCCATTTCTACCAAAACAAAAACAAACAAAAGATCCAAAAACAAACAAAATTTAAGAATTAAAAAGGGGAAAAAACAAATAAAATAATAAAATGTATTATTGCATTAAATTTTTCATACATAGAAATAAATATACCCAAATACATTCACACATCTTCACAAATAAAACACTTAACAAGAAATGCATAATTACACAAATGGAAAGATAAGCCATGCCAATGGATGTGAAGACTCAATATTGCAAAGAGATAAAATCTTATGTTTTTTTCTGTGTGTACAAATGCAAACTCAATCAAAATCCCAACAAGCTATTTTCTTAAACCTGATCATCTTATTCTAAAATTTATCTGGAAATACACCAAGCCAAGAATAGGCGAGACATTTTAGAGGAAAAACAAGACTTATTCTACAAGTTAGCAAAGCTTATTATAAAAGATAGACAATTAGAATAATATAAAAATGAAAGCATTCAGAAATATATTAATATATGAACATTTGATTTATAAAAAAGCTGGCACTCTGAAGTCACATGTGTGTGTCTATATATAAAAGTATAAAAGACATACATATGAGTATCTATTTTGCATATATATAATATATATAATACATACACCCACAGTAATGTAAATGTGAAAGAAAAAAGTAAAGCTTATTTTAGGATAATTTTCTCACTTTAGGGAAATATTTCTTAAACAAGATATTGTAAGTACTAACTATAAAGAAAAATATTTTTCAATTTAGCCATATTAAATCTAAGAGTTTCTATTTATCAAAAAAGTTATGCCAGTGAAAATATAGGAACAAAGTAGGAGAATATATTTGTGAAACAAGACAATACAATTACATAACATATAAATATGACAGGAAAAACATAGACCAGTAGAAAAATGTCTAAGAAATTTGAACACACACTTCCCCTAAAATAAATATTGCAATGTCCAATAATCAGTAGATGGGGAAATACAAATTAAAATTAACAGAATCTCAGTATAAACACTTAACATGCTTAATTATTTCAAAATTAACTTAAATTTTGAAAAGTGATTATATCACATATTTGTGAGAATAAATAGTAATAGGAATTTTCATTTACTGCTGGTGTGACTGAAATTTTTGATATTATTTACTTGTATTGATGATACATGTGGTCTATAATCCAACAGAAAGGCAAGCAAAAGTGCACCAAAACACAAGTTCAAGGATGTACATAGAAGCATTATTATTGATAGCCACAAAATAGAAAAATAAAAATGAACTGTAATGGAAGAATGGATAAATAAATTGAAGAATATTTATGTAAGAGAATTTTATACATGAATGAAAATGAACAAATTATGCCTATGCGACAAAATAGGTAAATTTTACAAATATTAAGAAGTCTGACATAAAATATTACCTACTGTATGATTCATTTATATGAAAACATCAAAACTGTGAAAAACTAAAAAATAGTGTAAAGATATTTTAAAAAGCAAGGTAGTAATTATCATAAATATCAGAATAGTGGTTACTCTTAGGGAGAGGAAGGCAATTGTTACTGTGAAATCTTATGACTTGCACATTCCTGGTAGTGCTCTCCTTCTTTATCAGCTGTTGATTACATATTTCACTTTATAATTATTCATTAAACTCTAAATTTGTGTTTAATGCACTTTTATCTATGGATGTTACATTTCACTATAAAAAGTAGCTTTTGTTTAATTGTTTACCTATAAAGGACAAAAAATGTCCCCCCAGTAAGAGCTTTTCATCCCAGTATACTGAAAGATTTTGTACACTGAGGACCTCTGCAGGGAACATAAGAAACAGTTATTTCTGGAAAAACAGATTTCTACTATGGGACCAGGGATTCTTCAATTAAAATGTTAATTATCCACAGAAACCACATCATTATCTTATTATCTTCCATTAATAAAAAAAAGCCTGTAACGTTACCCCACTAAGATGAGGTGATTTCTTCCTTGCTACAGTTTTCATTTTACTCTCTCAGTATTTATATGTTGGGCAACATATAAATGGTACATACCTTTGGTTTTTACAAAATTTCACTTACATTAAGCTCCTTCTCTGTGAATAGAATGATCTTAGGAAAGGTAATTCCAAAAACTTGATTTCACCAAGATGAAGCATCAACTAGTGTGAGTGTGTGGAGGCACATTGTTACACTCCACACTTTGATTCCAAGGAGGTATCACAAAGGGAATAGATGTCTGTAGTTCATTTCTGGTGAAGCAATCAAAGTCAAATATAAGCAAAATGATTTAACACTAGCAAGAAGTTAGCACAGATGGGCAAGTGGTTCCACCTCTTATTTTACTGTGGTGTAAAGATGAGTCCAAAGAGTATGCTCACAGTTAAATAAATTGTTTAGAGTTTCTGAACACTCAATTTGTTTTAGTGACAGACATCGTGCCACCTACAGAAAGAGTCCATACCATGTAAATTGTGTAGATTTTGATGGCAACATACCCCTAATCAACCAGCAGAGTGGTGTTTAAAAGGAGTTAGATTTGAATGCATTGCTTTCCAGCTGTGTAACATTGGATAAGTTACTCTACCTAGCTGTTCCTGCATTTCTTCATCAATAAAATTGTAATGATAATAATATTGAAACCTATATCAAAGAATGTTTTAAGTATAAAAAGAGTTCATATATGAAAGTAACTTTAAACAAAAGATGGAACCCAGTGCAACTTCAATAAATCTTAGTTATTAGTTGACCTGAAGAGGTTTTCATATTAGATTCCAAATACATAACCTTTAAAAAAGACTATTTTAAATCCTCATTGTCTCACACACCACTAAAGTGACAGTAATAGAAAAAGGAGTACTGTACAAGAAGAGAGATAAATGCTATGAGTAAGAGGGATAAACAAGAAAAGAAAGCAAACACAAAAAATGAAATTTGTAAACACAGTTCCCAAACATTAGTGAAGAAAAGTTATCTAGAGATTGGTAAAGTAGCCAGATCACTTGGTCCCACTTGGAGAACTCCATGTGTTGTCCTCCATGTGATTCTAATGTTGATACTCCCTAGAATAACCTTAGAGAAATACTACAGTGTTTCTTATACCAGTCCCCTAGCTTGACAGGGATGAAAATGAGAGTTGAAAAAGTCATGCTACTCTAACATGTTTCTTCTCCAAAGAAAAAGGTAGAATCAATAGTGATGTAGAGGTCTACTAACTTCTAGGGAACCTCTCCATGCAAACATTTTCGTTTTTGGATTCTCAATTATATTGAAAAATAGAAGACTTAAATGGAGACTAATCATTCATCTTTTTACTAATAAAACAGGATGGAAGAATGCTTCTGTTTCAGAAGAAAAAACAGATTTCAGAATGCTGCCTGAAATCTACAAGCTAGTAAATCTCTTTTCATCAAGCTGACCTGTCTCCTTAGTCACAGAGGAAATGCTGTTACAGGAAGACTTGCTCTCCTGAGATTTGTACCATGAACCATATAGATATAGTACTACGAAGCACAGAGAAGAGAAAAAGCACCTATTTACTGGCCCATAGAGCCCTTGTGTACACGTATAGGGTGAATTTCTGTTGTTCAGTTACAACCCTGTTCTCATTGCTGAAGCTATCTGGAGACATGATGCTGACTGTTGGCAAACCAAACTAAAAATGTCACAATTGTTGATCAACACAGTTCCATGCAAAGGTGCCACATGTAGGGGATAGTCTGTATTATCTTGTCAACATTGTCTATAAAAAATGTTCAGACTGATGTTTTGCACCTGGCTTCTCTTATACTATTTTGATTTCCTTTCCAGCCTGGTTTGATTAGGTGACCAGGAATAATACAAAATATCCCCCTATGGATGAGAATATGGCTTTCCAGAGACCAAGGTATATCACACATATTTTGGTGGTTTGTGACCCAGCAATGAAGCATGCTTTGTGTGATACAAAATAGATGTTGGAAGCTGAGCCTGGATGTCTCAGACTTTCTTGATGCTTACCTATACTATCTCCTCCTCCTACACTGTATTCCTTACTTTTATCAGAGTCTTGTCAGTCCTTTCATTAATTAAAACAGGCACCATTAATGCACCTTCTCACCACTGAGATAAGTCACAGCTACATCAAAGATGTAGGCTAAACCAGGGCTAGAGAGAAAGTAAGAAGCTTTCTCCACAACCTGTCCTAAAGTTAGAGTTTCTATTTTATGAACCATGTGTGAAGAATATAGAGAGAAGAATATAGAGAAAGGAAATGAACAGGCAGCCGGCATTTTGTTCTCTTACCTTGAGGCCGCCCAGGAATGCAGATATTTTGTCAGGCGAGGGAATAAAGAGATTAGCGGGTAAATACTCTTCCCACCTTTGTGGGTTAATTTCTGGATAGTAACTTTCCTGTTAAACAGTAGTGCTTTTGTATTTTCCTGGGACCCATGTGAGCAGTTAGTTAATCTTTTGCTTTTGCTCTCCAAAGCCCTTAGATAGGCTAGAAGAGAGTCTAATTATACTAAATCCAATCATACAATGCACTCCTGGCTAATAATTCTGTATTTTCCCAGTTTAAACTACACTCAGCAATATTGTCCAAAGGTTTTTTTTTAAAATCTCACGAAAGATTATGCAATAAACTCTCAGATGTAAAAATAGCTAACTAATACTACCTCACAAGTACAAAAATGCCCTAAGTGTGTACCATATATTCCTTGTTTTTAAGGAAAGGATTAAATTAAATTTGCATGTTTTCTTTCATTTGGAAAACACAATCTTCAACAAACAACCATATACTCACTACCACAAATGAAAAGATATTAACATTTTGCCACATATTATTCTAATCTCTTATATGAAATAATATTTTACTGATAAAGTTGAAAGATATTCCTACACTTCTTTACTTTTACTTCCATTCCCAGAAAAAATTATTAGCAAAAATTTAGAATTTAGTATACATTTTTCCACTCCGTATTAGAATATATTTTCTACATATGTATTCATCCATAAACATGATGGAGATTTTGTGCTTTATTTTATGTAATTGGTATAATATTGTTCACATCTTGCATATACTTTTGCATTTTTCCAATATCACTGTAAGATTTTGAGATTTAGGTATGTTGAAATATATAGATGTATTTTGTTTTTATTGTTTATCCATTTTCAAGAGAAATCAAGGTCTAAAATAAATACTTTTGAAAATGCAAAGGAATGTGAGCCTCAAATTCTTCCCCACTCTGTTATTCTTAGTCTGCAAAAATATCAATTGCTTTTGTTTGTGTCATTGGTGGTATCATTATATTTTACTGCAATTTCCATGTCAACTTTTCCTCTCTCTCTCTCTCTCTCTCTTTTTCTGTCTCTCTTTCTCTCTCATTTATCTTTTCATTTTTACCTCTGAGCAGGACAGCTAACTATAATTTATTTTACATAGAATAGAGCCATTGTTATTGGGAAAAGTGGCACGTGGGGCCATATGACCATTTCTTACCAGCAGAAAGTAAGTAGAAGTCATAGATGTCATTTCCAGGGCAGTTTAGTAGAGAAGTGTTTGTTGTTGTTGTTGTACTATTGGAATGCAGGAGTTCTTAGGGGATAGGAGGATCCTCTGTCCCTGAATTACGATATGTGGAAAAATTGTGCACTGATGTGAAGCACCCACATTTAACTGTTATTTGGGCAAGAAATAAACTTATGTATTAAAGCACAGAGTTTTGTTTGCTACAATAGCTAGCATTACTTTAACTACTGTTCTTGTCTATATAAAATACCCACAGGGGATAAGAACTTCACTTTACCCTGCTAAATATTTCAACCATCTTAACGTACCCCATATTTACCCACAGTATCTTCTACTTGAAACTGTATAGTACTATAGAGGACCTTATTTGACAATCATTACCAGATTCCCTTAGGCAAATTAAGTTTTTCTTCCATATACTTAAAGCATTATTTTGTTGAAATGCCCCTATTTCCTCAAATACTAGGCTGGGAGCTTCTTAAGTGCTAGCAAGTGCTGAGTTGCTTGATAAATATTTAAATAAAAATGAATAAACATGTGGCCTTGAAGACGGATATCTGGTTTAGAACTCTATTTTATAACATATGGAGAGACATTTTTTAACAGACTTTATTAAAATCAGGACAGCATTTCTAAAAAATAAGTGCACTGAACATTTTGATAGACACTAATTAGGATCAAAAGGGCAGATTTAGCCTAATTAGAATGAATATTTCTTCATTATTTTAAGGATAAAACCAAGTATACAATATATTAGCCTTTTGAGAGCCAGACACCCTTTCAAAGACAAGGAGGGAAATGCTATCTGATTGAAAAGTATCAGAATTTAGTGCAATTCTAAAGAACATATAGCTGAAAAGAAGAAAAAGTGTCCGTTAATGTTTTATATATAAAACATTATATACAGCTTTATTTATATTTATAGTTTAGAAATATATCTAAATATTAGATTTTTCTATAAATTATTAGAAAATAAACCACTCATTTAAAATCTACTGAAAAAATCCTCCAGTATTTGGAAATTTTTCATGGAATCTAACCTACTCAGATATATTCTGCAACAAGCCCTAAGACACAATTATTTAAATATTAGATTTTTCTATAAATTATTAGAACATAAACCACTCATTTAAAATCTACTGAAAAATCCTCCAGTATTTGGAAATTCTTCATGGAATCTAACTTACTCAGATATATTCTGCAACAAGCCCTAAGACACAATTATTTAATTGACATTTATTGCTTTAATTATTTTAACTTCTTAGCATCTACTCTCACTTATTCTAGCAGCAAATAACAATTTCTTTTTCCTTCTTGTATGCATCCTTTGAAAGAGTATCATTCACATTTACTATCTGTCCCTAGACAAGATGTGGGCATGTAACCCCAGCTAGGCCTGTTAGACACTCTCAGGGCTTTATACTGTAAACTGGGTGACACAGTTACTGGGAAGAGGGTTGGAGCTGATTGATCAAAGCATCAGCAGGAGATCATCAATTTGTTCCTGCTTCCTCAACTTCTGGAACTTTATTAGTTCTTGCCTTCTCCCAGCTAAGGTGTTCAGTTCTTCCTTCAGTTAATTCTGCTTTCTCTCATGTGAGCCAGGGCAGGGCTCTGTAAATTGCAACTAAAACACCATGAAAATACTTGTTACAATGTTTAGGTTTTGGCATTACTCAAACACCTTCTGATGACTTTCTTAGTCCAATGTGAATAACTTGACTAACATTTGTCAAACTCTTTAAAATAAAATAAAACAAAATAAAAACAAGAAAACAAGCATGGCAACTGATCTCAGATCTCTAGTGCCTGGATTGCAAAAGTGATTTATGATATGTGGCAACTAAAATCATAAGAATGCTCAGTGCTTCTAGAGCTTTTTACTTTTTAAAGATGTTTCCTTAAAAATCACTATGATCTTATTTAATCCTCACAGGAACTCTGTGAAGTAAACAGAAAATGAATTATTACTCTCATTTTTTAAGGGAGAAAAATTGATGTAAAAAAGAAAAACAGATACTAGAGGGTCACTGAAATAAAAAAAATCTAAATAAAATAATTTTTATACTAAGTCTAAAATTATAAAACCACATTTGGGGAAGTCCTTTATTTTAATATAATCTTTTGTGTGAGAAGTCATATGGTTAAAACCAAAATAAGACTGGTCTTTGTCTTTCAATTCAATGTTTGATCTCTCAATCTTCCATCTCCTCAGTAAGTACTATCCTCACTTTTCTAGCTAACACCTTTAAATGTATAAGACTTGAAATAACTTTCCACTCAAGTGATGTATAGGAACATGTGGTATTATTCTGACACAAGAATGAAGTTGATGATAGTATTTCACCCTCAATTAGGTGATGAATTTTTGCACTGAAGAGATTGCGTATAGAGAGGAACCTTTATTTTCTGGAGTCTATGATACCTATTCATCCATTAAAATGTTAAAGAATACAAGCTAGAGGTTGGTAAGCAATAATTCAATATCTACCCATCTTTTAAATCATGATACAGTATTACTGTATATACATACACATGTATAAGTATATATGTATATATGTATGCATACATACTTAGAAATGTATTTATTCTTATTTAAACTGTGGAAAATATTTCAAAACCATAACAGGTTAATATATTCCTTTTTTATGACTTACAAATTGGCTTCATTTCTTTCTGCTCTTTTTTGTTGGAAAAAAGAAACAACTATCACCATTTCTAAAATAGACTTCATATCTCCGAAGAGCATTCTTAAATTATTCCTTAATTTTCTTTTCTCATACTAAATTAAGCTTTCTATTTTTACTGTTTTTCTCATAGGCCTTGATTTTCAACCTTTAATCATCTCCTTTGCTCAACCTCTGCCAAACTCATCACACATATTAAATTGATATCAGTTTGTTCATTTGGTGCCCGGTGGACACCCAGAAATCTGCAAAGTATCTTTCTTCCATATTCTTGTGATCTCAGCCAAGTGCAGAAATTCCAGGATAAATTTAAATAGCATTCCATATGCTGTAATAGAGGCTAAAAAATGAAGCCTGAACAGTGTCGACTTCATCAGGTAATAACTGCCTCTACTGTGATTTTTAGGTTAATGAAGAACTGGAAATTTATACAGTTTCATTGCTCATTCAGAAAATTGTCTTCTTGTCAGATTGTCCATGCTCATTGCATCTATGACTTGTAAATTTCCATTGAGATATTTTAGGCATCTCCCTTTTCACTAGCATATGAACAATAAAAGTAAGTTCTATAATTCAGATTGTATCTACACTTAAAAATTTTTTATTTTCACTGATAATCTAAAAAGAAAAGTTAAAGAATCAGCCTGTTGTTTTGTTTTGACTGACAACTATGGTATTTACTTACTTATTATTTTAAAGATTCAAGCATTTTGACTTAAGCATAAGTCACAGAAGCAGAATTTGTATTAGTATAACTAGACTTTCACTTTATTTGTTTGAAGTGTGAAATTCAAGGGGCCACATTTCAGATTCCAAAATAGTGTTTTCTTTCACTAAATTGGTTTTTGTTTCCATTCTTAATCTAAGATTGTAAACTAATGCTAATAGGCAACTAGCTCCTAGTAAAAGCACTTTCCATAGATTTCATAGGAATTACTATTCAACACTTTGTTCACTGCATGTACTTTTGTGATATCTGTTATAAAACTGTAATTACCCTCTGGCTCCTGGTATAATAAATCTGATTTAGTGTGCAAGTCACTTAGCCACTTTGATCATCAGTTTTCCCATCATATATATTTAGCATTCAAATTGGGCTATTGTGCAGATTAAAGGCAAAATATTGTATATAAGATTCCTTGCACATTATGTGGCGTACAGCAAGTCCTAAGAATAAATTATATTATTAAGTACATAATATTTATTAAATGTTATTTATAAGCTAGAGGGAAACAGTATATTTAAGCAAAGCTAATTACCATAAATGATGATAATAATATTATCATTATAATTATTATCAATAACTCAGTGGCTTAAAAGGACAAAAGTTTCCTTTTTTTTCTTACTCTATGACATTTATTTATTCATTTATAGATTCAGGGGTACAAGTGCAGTTTTCTTACGTGGAATATTGTACAGTGGTGAAGCTTGGGTTTTTAGTGTACCCATCACTCAAATAGTGAACACTGTACCCAATAGATCATTTTTCAACACTCGCCGCCCACCCACCTTCCCACCTTTTGCAGTCTCTACTGTCTACTTTCCCATTCTGTATATCTGTGTATACTCACTGTTTAGCTTCCATGTATAAGTAAGAACACGTGGTATTTGAGCTTCTGTTTCTGGGTTATTTCATAATGTATCCTACTTAAAAATTTTTAAGACTTATCTGAATATTAAACCCAGTGAACTTTTTTTCTTAAAAGTAAAAAGTGGAAAACGTAGAAACAAGAAAGAGCAACTAGATTCTTCCTAATGAAACTTAAATTCTTATTTGACTATTAGATGTGAAATGTACTGATATAAAATGCACATTTAAATAGAACTACTTCAGGGAAAGGAGTATAAAAATAAAACAAAATGTTTAAAAAGTCAAAATCTGAAATCTAATAAGTCTTGCAGCTGACCTAAAACTGCTATGCTTAATTAGGTTTCTAATATGTTAAAATATTGTTATATTTTCAAAGTTTAGGGAAACATATGGAGAAATAGTGGAAATCATACCAAAATTTGCTTCAGATGTTTGAAAAGTACTGCATGCTTTCTCTAATTGTGATCCCCTCCTCGTACCAACATTAATGTACAAATCTTTCTATATTGTTTTTATTCTACAAAAATGCCAAAACAAAAGACGAAGATAATCAAATCCTGAAATATCTTTCTCCCACTAAGGTAATTTCCTGTTAAGAGAGTTAATTATAGACACATTTTTAGCTGTAAACTAAGAACTTGGGCAATTGATTTTGCCCAGCTCTTTCAAAAGACAGCTTTAAAAAGTATAACCATATGGTTTTATTTTTAAAAAATTATGGCATGTGAAATATACAAAAAATAAGCATACGTTTATAATTTAAAAATCAATTGAAATGCTTAGAAAATAATATATGATGTTTTGGTGAATGTTAAATGAGAAATATACAAATACATTAGGCCCATGGTAGACTGTCAACAGTATGAATTTCCAATTTTCTGTTTTAATTTCCTTCCTTCTCTCTCTTTCTTTCCCTACTCCATTCCCTTTTCTAAACTTCAGCAACTCACAGCAATATATAGAAAGCAAGAGACCTTACCTTTGTACATATCTCTGGTTTCCCTTTAAACTAAATATTGAGAGTTAAAAATAATAATAATAATAAAAGCCTATAGAAGGCCAGTACATGGAGCTACTTCCTAAGATTTTTGTACATTGTCTTGTTTGGGCTTGTATAATTTCAAAAAATTACTTCATTAGGAACAAATAGATGTACAAATTGTGCAGGGAGAAAAATAACTTTTGTTACAAATATAGGTGTTAATGGGTCACTGGAAGCTTGATATAGATAGAAGTCCAGATAAGAAGTACTTTGAGGAATTCCTACGTATTTTACAAACATAAATACTATTTTTCAAAGAAGAATAATCACAATTTCGTTGACTTTTCAAATGATTAAAAAGTAATTAGGACGGGCGCGGTGGCTCACGCCTGTAATCCCAGCACTTTGGGAGGCCGAGGCAGGCGGATCATGAGGTCAGGAGATCGAGACCATCCTGGCTACCATGGTGAAACCCCGTCTCTACTAAAAATACAAAAAATTAGCCAGGCGTGGTGGCGGGCTCCTGTATTCCCAGCTACTCTGGAGGCTGAGACAGGAGAATGGCATGAACCCGGGAGGCGGAGCTTGCAGTGAGCTGAGATCGTGCCACTGCACTCGAGCCTGGGTGACACGGTGAGACTCCGTCTCAAAAAAAAAAAAAAAAAAAAAAAAAAAATTAGTTAAAATGAAATTCACTTCAAACATTACTAGTTCCTATAAAATAGAGATCTCTACAATATCATAAAGTGTTAACAATTTTTTTTATTATACTTTAAGTTTTAGGGTACATGTGCACAACGTGCAGGTTAGTTACATACATATACGTGTGCCATGTTGGTGTGCTGCACCCATTAACTCGTCATTTAACATTAGGTATACCTCCTAATGCTATCCCTCCCCCCTCCCCCCACAATTTTATGAAATGTTTTTATATTTTGCACCTGCAAGCAATGTCTAATTAGCAATTAGTGTTGGCTTACCATGAAAATTGTATTAGTGTAATAAAACTTTAAATTCCAAATTGAAGGCAGGTTTTAAAAAATAATCTTTAGTATTTATCTTCAAATTCAAATCAACAATGCCCTAGTTGTAATAAAACATAAAGTTAATGACATAATGTTCTAATACAAGCTTTTACCAGTTTCAATATTAAACACATTATGTTTAAATTTTGATTTATAATATAAAATGGTAATGGTTTATCCTTCCTTCCTTTTAGAAGGAAAGTTAAGTCTATGTACAATCCCTCCTCTTTACATAGCATGCTCTGTTCTCATGACCATTTAGTTTCTTTTTATTTTATGTGCTTCTTATAAAATGCATTCATTTGCTACCATTTTACAAGACCACATCAATAATTCATTTTGTCTTACTGAGCATTTGACACATAATTTCTACATGATAGTTATTTCATTCATTAATTCTTCATTTACTCGTGTTTATTCATTCATATTCATGTCCTTTTATTTATATTTATTGTTATTCATTTGTTCTTTGTTTATCCATATATATGGATTAGATATTTATATGTTTGACCATGGACTGACTGCTAGAGTGAGTAATTTCAAATCTTTGGAACTCTTATTCTGTTGGGGACATAATACAATATACTCTATTCTACATGAGAAATGATGAAGGAAAATGTGAAATAATAATAATAAAAGCAATGTGGTGATAGCATAAGACTGGAACAACTGAAAATAAAAGGGAGCTAAGACATTCACCCATGTGTATGTCAGCACTTAAAAGGGATTACAGCATGCATTATTTAGTAGGTGGTGTTACAAAAACTATATCATTATACGGAGAGAAATAAAATTAAATATCTACCTAATTATACATAATGACTTGAACTTCAGATGAATTAAAAACATAAATGTGAAAGGGAAAACTGTAAGGTGATTATATTACCTCATGTAGGGAGAAAAAGGACTTAAAAATTTTAAAAATATAAATCATAAAACATAGAAAAATAAACGAATCCTTTTTGACAAATCTCACCATTATCAAAATTAGTAGAAATATGATAAATTGTGAGAATATTCCATAGATAGATTTGTTATATTTATGAATCTCAATGTATATAGATGTTGTTTCATCAATTCTTTAATATCAACAGCAGAAAGGGAGGAACTCAGTGTCACCACATATTCTAGATGTATAAAATAACTCTATGCACAAGTAACAACTGTATGCACAAATCCAGGTACATAATGTATCATATTTTAACAACTTTTATTGAGACATAATTTACATAGAATAAATTAATCTATGTAAAGTGTGCAGTTCAATAGTTTTTAGTAAATTTACAGAGTTGTGCAAAAATCAGCAGAATCTAATTTCAGAACATTTTCCTCACTATAATAAGAAACACATAAACATCAACAGTCACTCCTCATGTTTTCTGCCGGCCCTAGGCAACCCCTAATCTATTTGTACCTATATAGATTTGTCAATTCTAGCCATTTCATAAAAATAGAATTATGCAATATGTGATATTTTGTGCCTAGCTTCTTTCAATTAATATAACATTTTAAACATTCATCCACATTGCAGCATGCATCACTCACTGCTTCGTTCCTTCTTATTGCCAAATAATCATCTATTGTATGGCTACATCAGATTTTGTCTACTCATCAGTTGAGGGGCATTTAGGTTGTGTAGTGAGTTGAATAGTGTCCCCCCAGAATTCACATACATCCAGAAACAGAATTTGACCCTATTTGGAAATACAGTATTTTCAGATATAATTAGTTAAGTTGAGGTCATGCCAGATTAAGATGCCTTAAATCTAATGACTAGTGTTCATATGAGAAGAGGAAAGCACACACAAATATACACAAAGAGAAGGCCATGTGAAGATGGATGTAGAGATTGCAGTGGTGAAGTCTTAAGCCAATAAATGCCAAGAACTGCTGATAAATTCCAGATACTAGAAAAAGCAAAGAAGGATTCTTTTCCAGAGCCTTCAGAGAAAGCATGGTATATTGGTCTGTTTTCACACTGCTGATTAGGACATACCCAAGACTGGGCAATTTACAAAAGAAAGAAGTTTGTTGGACTCACAGTTCCACGTGGCTGGGGAGGCCTCACAATCATGGCAGAAGGTGAAAAGCACTTATTACATGGTGGCCACAAAAGAGAGAGAAGCTTGTGCAGAGAAACCCTTGTTTTTAAAACCGTCAGATCTCATGAGACCCATTCACTATCCCAAGAACAGCATGGGAAAGACCTGCCCATAAAATTCAGTCATCTCCCACCAGGCCCCTCCCACAACACATGGGAATTATGGGAGCTACAAGATGAGATTTAGGTGGGGACAAAGAGACAAACCACATCATTCTTCCCCTTGCCCCTCCCAAATCTCATATCTTCACATTTCAAAACCAGTCACGCCTTCCCAACAGTCCCCCAAAGTCATAGCTCCTTTCAGCATTAACTCAAAAGTCCACAGTCCAAAGTCTCATCTGGGACAAGGCAAGGCCCTTCTGCCTATGACACTATAAAATCAAAAGCATGTTAATTACTTCCTAGATACAATGGGGGTACAGGCTTTGGGTAAATACAGATATTCTAAGTGGGAGAAATTAGCCAAAACAAAGGGGCTACAGGTCCCACACAAGTACAAAATCCAGCAGGGTAGTCAAATCTTAAAGTTCCAAAATGATCTCCTCTGACTCCATGTCTCATATCTAGGTCATGCTGATGGAAGAGGTGGGTTCCTATGGTCTTAGGCTGCTCCACCCCTGTGGCTTTGCAGGGTATAGCCTCCTTGCTAGCTGCTTTCACGAGGTCACGATGAGTGTTTGTGGCTTTTCTAGGCACATGGTGCAAGTTGTTGGTAGAGCTACCATTCTGGGGTCTGGAGGAGGTTGACCCTCTTCTCAAAGCTCCGCTAGATGGTGCCCCAGTAGGGACCCTCTGTGGGTGGTCTGACCCCACACTTCCCTTCTGTGCTGCCCTAGCAGAGGTTCTCCATGAGAGCCCAATCCCTGCAGCAAACTTCTGCGTGGGCATCCAGGCATTTCCATATTACATCTTCTGAAATCTAGGTAGAGGTTCCCAAACCTTAATTCTTGACCTCTGTGCACTCCCAGACTCAATGCCACATGGAAGCTCCCAAGGCTTGGGGCTTGAACCCTCTGAAGCCATGGCCAGAACTCTATGTTTTCCTCTTTCAATAGCTGGTGGAGCAGCTGAGATGCAGGGCACCAAGTCCCTAGGCTGCACACAGCACAGGAACCCTGAGCCCGGACCACAAAACCATTTTTTCCTCTTAAACCTCCGGGCCTGTGATGAGAGGGGCTGCTGCAAAGGTTCTGACATTCCTTGGAGACATTTTCCCCATTGTCTTGGTGATTAACATTTGGCTCCTTGTTATTTGCCCAAATTTCTGCAGACAGCTTCAATTTCTCCTTAGAAAATGGGATTTTCTTTTCTATTACATTGTCAGGCTGCAAATTTTCCAAACTTTTATGCTTTGTTTTCCTTTTAAAACTGAATGGTTGGGCAAGGTGGTTCACAACTATAATCCCAGCATTTTGGGAGACAGAGGCAAGTGGATCATTTGAGGTCAGGAGTTCGAGACCAGCCTGGCCAACATGATGAAACCCTGTCTCTACTAAAAATACAAAAATTAGCTTGGCATAGTGGTGGGTGCCTGTAATCTCAGCTACTCAGGAGGCTGAGGCAGGAGACTCACTTGAGCCTGGGAGGTGGAGTTTGCGGTGAGCTGAGATCACGCCACTGCACTCCAGTCTGGGTGACAGAATGAGACCCTATCTCAAAAACAACAACAAAAACAACAACAAACTGAATGCTTTTAACAGCACCCAAGTTACCTCTTGAATGCTTTGCTGCTTAGACATTTCCTCCACCAGATACCCTAAATCATTTATCTTAAGTTCAAAGTTCCATAAATGTCTCAGGCAGGGCCAAAATGCCACCAGTCTCTTTGCTAAAACATAACAAGAGTGATGTTTGCTCCAGTTCCCAAGAAGTTCCTCATCTCCATCTGAGACCACCTCAGCCTGGATTTCACTGTCTATATCATTATCAGCATTTTGGTCAAAGCCATTCAACAAGTCTCTAGGGAGTTCCAAACTTTCTTATATTTTTCTTGTATTCTTCTGAGTCCTCCAATCTGTTCCAACCTCTGTCTGTTATCCAGTTCCAAAGTTGCTTACACATTTTCAGGTATCTTTTCAGTTGACTGGAAGTTGAAGAAGCTACAACTTCTAAATAATATTTGGTATTAGGACACAGATGATGGCAAATAGAGTAGATAATGGCTCCTAAACAAAGTGTGATAGTCTGATAGCATAATAATTTTTATCATGGGATAAATTTTATCACAATATTTACTTGTGAAGGGCTACCATCAACATGATTAAATATTTCTGACAGACTGATTCATGTTGCTTCTGATTTCTCACCAGGTACAGAGTATAACTACAGTGCTCTGATAATTACTATCATGACTATTATGAGGCTTACAGACATGTAGTGTTCTTGCTCATAAGGATATTATAGCCATAGTTAGTGTGACAGAATACATAACAAAGTCTGATAAAAATATGTGATAGTGCATTGTAAGCGCTTCACATTATTATTAACAAAATAATGGATTGGTAAGAGGTAGAATTAGCTGACGAAGTGTTCCTGAAGAGTAATACTTGAAAGAAAGTATAGACTTCTGATTGCTAGAAAGTAGGAAAACATTCTAAGTGTAAGGAAACCCACATATTATGGAACAAGTAGTGTTAAGCAAACATATAAAGGGAGAAAATAAGAATAATGATGAGTAATGCAGTCAAAATCCGTGGATTAATGAAAGTGAGTGATCAGGTGTTTTAAATGGAGTCTGCAATGGAACCTTCCCAAAACTATTGTTAAGGGGGAATTTATAAGGTTTCAGGACAATGAATATAAAAAGTTTAGAAGACTAGTCTAATTTCTCAAGATGTGTTGCTGGGAGGAATGGACAGCGCCGGAGAATTTTGAAAGAGCTAGAGTGTGAGGAATAATGATAGGCAAATATCAGGTTTGGTTGAAATCACATTTATTAAATACTCATATTTTCCAGGCATTGTTCTATGTAGTTTACATGCATTAATCATGAAATCCCTGTAAGTAACCTAAGATATAGGTTACTTATCTTTATTAGTCATGATATGGGTTATTGTATCAATATAGCATTATTGTCCTCATTGTACATATGAAAAAACGAAGTCACAAAGAATTTTAGAAAATTTTCCAAGGTCACTTGGTGAATACATGTAAGACCCTAGTTTTGTCTTCAAGTATTCTAACTCTTAAAACCATACTCTTAAGCACGATGTTAAATTGTGTCATCTGGTTGCCTAATCTCTCTGCATAACAGAAGGCTTGTTATTTTCACATTTCACATAAGCTATGGTTAAAAACTGTTAAACTGATCATTCCAAATCCTATTTCCCCTTAATTTCTCTGCTAAGAGTTTCTTCATTTGTTAAACAATTGTTTTCTTTCTTGCTGTCTGTGATTTTCCTTCCTTTAAACAGTTTCTCAGCAATTAGAATATTTCTGTTCAATAGAATGGAAGTTCTGTTTTGTAGATGTTTATTTGTAAAGGAAAATGCAACAATTCTAATTCACCTTGGAAGATAATAATACATATTTACACTCTCTAAAGAAAGACAGAAACAAAAAGGTAAGAGGCGGGGAAGGAGGCAGGAGAGAACAAAGGAAGGAAGGAAGGAAGGAAGGGAGGGAGGGATGGAGGGAGAACGAAAGAAAGAAAGAAAGAAAGAGGAAGGAAAGCAAGCAAGCAAGAAAGAAAGAAAGGAAGGAAGGAAGGAAGGAAGGAAAGAAAGAAAGAAAGAAAGAAAGAAAGAAAGAAAGAAAGAAAGAAAGAAAGAGAAAAAGAAAGAAAGGAGGGAGGGAGATTACCTTTTTAAAAACTAAGTTTTTTTCACAAAGAAAAAGATTAATCAATTGGAAAATACAAAATTACAAACTCTGTTCCTCAATCTCTTCCTAAAATTAAGACAGTATCCAGACCGGAAGAAGACATTTCCTATTTGGCAGTATTTCCTAAAAGTTGATGATATATTTACCCTTTGATCAAGAAATTTGATTGCTAGGTATATACTCAACAGAATCAAATGTATATGCCCCAAATCATTTACAAGCACAATACATAATACTATTTTTCTATATGTAATGAGGTGACATATTTTATTTATTTTTATTTTAACATGATAGATTACGTTATTTATTTACTTATTTTATTTTTTATTTTTCTGTTTTTTTAAACTTTTCTTTCAGGTTTGGGGTACATGCACAGGTTTGCTGTAGAGGTAAACTCATGTCACAGGTGCTTCTTGTACAGATTATTTTTGTCACCCAGGTACTAAGCCTAACTATAAGCCAATAGTTATTTTTTCTGATCCTCTCCCTCCTCCCACCCCCCCATTCCTCAGGTAGACCCCAGTGTCTGTTGTTCTTCTCTTTGTGTCCATGTGTTCTCATCATTTAGCTCTCACTTGTAAGTGAGAACATGGAGTATTTAGTTTTCTATTCCTGATTTAGTTTGCTTAGGATAGTGGCCTCCAGTTACATTCATGTCCCTGCAAATGACATGATCTTATTCTTCTTTAAGGCTGCATAATATTCCATGGTGTATATGTACCACATTTTCTTTACCCAGTCTACCACTGATGGGCTTTTAGGTTGATTTCATGTCTTTGCTGTTATGAATAGTGCTGCAGTGAACATGCAGGTGCATGAACCTTTAGGGTAGAATGATTTATATACCTTTGGGTATATGACTAGTAATGGGATGGCTGGGTCAAATGGTAGTTCGGTTTTTAGCTCTGTGAGGAATCTTTGCTCTTCTTTCCACAATAATTGAACTTATTTGCACTCCCACCAGCAGTATATATTGTTTCCTTTTTTCTACACCCTCACCAGTATCTGATATTTTTTTGAATTTTTAATAGTAGCCATTCTGACTGGTGTGAAATGGTATTGCATTGTGGTTTTTGATTCACATTTCTCTAATGATCAGTAATGTTGAACTTTTTTTTATGTGCTTGCTGACCACATGTATGTCTTCTTTTGAAAATTGTCTGTTCATGTCCTTTGCCCACTTTTCAATGTGGTTATTTCTTTTTTGCTTGTAAACTTGTTTAACTTCCTTATAGATGCTGGATATTAGACCTTTGTCAGATGCATAGTTTGCAAGTATTTTCTTCCAGTCTGTAGATTGTTTGCTCTGTTGATAGTTTCTTTTGCTGTGTAGAAGCTCTTTAATTAGATCCCATTTGTCAATTTTTGATTGTGCTGCGTTGCTTTTGGGATCTTTGCCATGAAATCTTTTTCAGTTGCTATGTCCAGAATGACATTGCCTAGTTTGTCTTCCAAGATTTTTATCCTTTCAGTTTTACATTTAAGTATTTATCCATCTTGAGTAAAGTTTTGTGTATGCTGTAAGGAATGGGTCCAGTTTCAATCTTCTGCATATGGCTAGCCAGTTACTCCAGCCCCATTTATTGAATAGAGACTCCTTTCTCCATTGCTCGTTTCTGTCAGCTTCACCGAAAATCAGGTGGTTGTAGGCGTGCAGCCTTATATCTGTGCTCTCTATTTTGTTCCGTTGGTCTGTGTGTCTGTTTTTGCACCAATACCATTCTGTTTTGGTTATTATAGAACCGTAGTATAGTTTGAAGTTGGGTAGTGTGACGCCTCCAGTTTTGTTCTTTTTGTTTAGGAATGCCTTGGCTATTCAGGATCTTCTTTGGTTCCATATTAATTTTAAAATAGTTTTTCTAGTTCTGTGAAAAACGTCATTGGTAGTTTGATAAAAACAGTTTTGAATCGGTAAATTGTTTTGGGCAGTATGGCCGTTTTAGCCACATTGATTCTTCCTATCCATGACTATGGAATGTTTGTTCATTTGTTTGTGTCACGTCTGATTTTTTTGAATAGGGTTTTGTAATTCTTATTGTAGAGATATTTGACTACCTGGTCAACTGTATTCTTAGGTATTTTATTTTTTTTGTGGCAACTGTAAATGGGATTGCACTCCTGATTTGGCTCTTGGTTTGGGTATTGCTGGTGTATGGAAATGCTAATGATTTTTGTACATTGATTTTTGTATCCTGAAACTTTGCTGAAATTGTTGATCAATTTTAGGAACTTTTGGGCCCAGACTTTGGTGTTTTCTAGATATAGAATCATGTGGTCTGCAAACAGGGATAGTTTGACTTAAGTACACAGACCAGTGATACAATAAAGCAACCACACAAACAAGTCAGTATAATAAACAGCTAACAACATGATGACAGGTTCAAATTAACACATGTCAAAAGTAACCTTAAATGTATATGGGATAAATGCCACAATTAAAAAGCACAGAGTAGCAAGGTGGATAATGGAGGAATACCCAATGGTATACCGTGTTCAAGAGATCTGTCTCTCATGAAATGGCACTCATAATTTCAAAATAAAGGGATGGAGAAACATCTACTAAGCAAATGGAAAACAGAAAAAAAGCATGGGCTACAATCCTAATTTCAGACAAAACAGATTTTAAATCAACAAAGATCAAAAAAAGACAAGAAGTTCATTATATAGTACAAAGGAGTTCAGTTCAACAAGACTTAACTATCTTAAATGTATATGCACTTAACACAAAAGCACCCAGATTCATAGAGCAAGTTCCTGGAAACCTTCAAAGAAACTTAGGCTCCCACACAATAATAGTGGCAGACTTCAACATCTCACTGATAGTATTAGACAGATTGTCAAGAGAGAAAATTAACAAAGATATTCAGGACCTAAACTCAAAACTGGACCAAATACACCTGATAGACATCTACAGAACTCTCCCCCACAAAACCAACGGAACATACATTCTTCTCATACCACATGGCACATACTGTAAAATCATCCACACAACCAGACATAAAACAACTGTTAGCATACGCAAAAGAACCAAAATGACACCAACCACTCTCTCCAACCACAGCACAATTAAAAATATATTCAAGACTCAGAACATCACTCAAAACCACACAATTAAATGGAAATCAATCAACCTGCCCCTGAATGGCATTTGGGTAAATAATAAAATTAAGGCAGAAATCAAGAAGTTCTTTGAAACTAATGAGGACAAAGATACAACATACTGGAATCTTTGGGACACATCTAAAGCAGTGTTAAGAGGGAAATTTATAGCACTAAACACTCACATCAAAAAGCTAGAAAGATCTCATTAACAACCTAACATCACAACTAAAAGAACTAGAGAAGCAAGGGAAAACCAACCCCAAAGCAAGCAGAAGACAATAAATAACCAAAATCAGATCTGAACTGAAAGAGATTGAGACATAAAAAAAAAATTTCAAAGATTAATGAAACTAGGAGCTGGCTTTTTGAAAAAAAATAATAAGATAGATAGACCACTAGCTAGACTAATAAAGAATAAAAGAGAGAAGATTCAAATAAACACAACTAGAAATGACAAAGGGAATATTACCACTGACCCCACAGAAATACAAATAGCCTTCAGAAAGTACTATGAATACCTATACCCACAATAACTAGAAAATCTAGAAGAAATGGATAAATTTCTGGACACCTATACCCTCCCAAGACTGAACCAGGAAGGAATTGAATCCCTGAACAGACCAATATCGACCCCCAAATTGAATCAATAATAAATAGCCCACCAGCCAAAAAAGCCCAGAACCAGACAGATTCACAGCTGAATTCTTCCAGATATATGAGGAGTTGACATCATTCCTACTGAAACTATTCCAAAAAAATTGAAGAGGAGGCACTTTTCCCCAACTCATTTTATGAGACCAGCATCACCCTGATACCAAAACCTGGCAGAAATACCACAAAAAAAGAAAACTTCAGGCCAATATCCTTGGTGAACATTGATGCAAAAATATGTTTTTTTTTTTTTGCACCCAGCCACTAGCAAAGTGGGCCGGGTGAGGTGGCTCACCCTTGTAATCTCAGCACTTTGGGAGGCCAAGGCAGTTGGATCACCTGAGGTCAGTAGTTCAAGACCACCCTGGACAACATGGTGAAACCCCATCTCTACTAAAAATAAAAAAAAAATTAGTTGGGTGTGGTGGTGTGTGCCTGTAATCCCAGCTATTGAGGAGGCAGAAGCACGAGAATTGCTAGAACCCGGTGGGGTAGAGGTTGCAGTGAGCCGAGATCACTCCATTGCACTCCAGCCTGGGCGACAGAGCAAAGTTCCGTGTCAAGAAAAAACAAACAAACAAAAAATACTAGCAAAGTGAATCCAGCAGCACATCAAAAAGGTAATCTGTGCACAATTAAGTAGCCTTTCTCTCTGAGATGCAAGACTGATGCAACATATGCAAATTAATAAATGTGAATCATCATATATACAGAACTAAAGAAAAAACCACATGATTATCTTAAAAGATGCAGAATAAGCTTTTGATAAAATTCAGCATCCCTTCATGTTAAAAACTCTCAACAAACTAGGTAATGAAGGAACACACCTCAAAATAATAAGAGCCCTCTATGACAAACCCACAGCAAACATCATACCAAATGGGCAAAAACTGGGAGCGTTTCCCTTGAAAATTGGCACAAGACAAGGATGTCTTTCAAAATAGTACTGGAAGTCCTGGCCAGAGCAATCAGGCAAGAGAAAGAAATAAAGGGCATCCAAATAGAAAGAGAGAAAGTCAGACGATCCATGTTTGCAGTTTACTAATTTTAAATAAACTCATATCCCTAAAATATACCCATCTCTGTGGGTTATAATACCTTTTGTATTCACTGTTGAGTTTGGTATGGTAATATTTAGGCTTGCATTTTTCATCTACGCCCATGGGTTAAATTTATATGTCAATTTATTTTCATGTACTATCTCTATTTGGTTTTGATATCAAGGTCATGTACATCTTAAAAATACAATCGGTGTGTATGTACCTTCTTTTTCTGTTTCCTAGAGCCAATTGGTGTAAGACTGGAATAATATGTTTTTAGAAGTATAAAATCACTACTGGTGCCATGTGAGATTAGAATTTTCTTCAAAGAAAATTTTTGACCATTGATTTAATTCAATTATAGAATTATTTACAATTTATAGTTTTCCCTTGTCAGTACCCAACTTGTTCTTCTAATGACGTCTATTTTATGTAAACTTTCAAATTTATTACTATAGATTTGTTTAATATCATGTATTAACTTATTAAATCTCACCTAAAGTTGTCATTCCCACTAAAGGTTCTGCCCCCTATCCCCACCATGAATTAATTGGACTTTGTTGATTCCATTTTATTTGTTTTTTATTTCCTTAATTTTACTTCTTATTTTTAACATTTCCAGTCACCTACTCTCCTAGAGTTTATTCTTTTTCCATGTTTTGGTTCATTCATTTTTAGCTTTCTTCTTTCCATTTTCTACCTTAAGCAAACCCTGGACATTTTCTTCTAATTCCTCAACCAAATCCTAAATTTACCATGCTTGTCGACTGCTTTCAAGGCATGTGAAATTGTGTTGTCTTAAATCTGGATTTGTATATTAGTCATATTTTGGCTGCATAATTTTTTAAATATTTTATCAGTTTTTCTATGCTAAGGAAGTTTTTATTATTGTTAATGCTCTGATGGTTTAACCCAGTGTACACTTGAAGGGAAAAAAAATGTGTTCTTTTCTTTCTTATTCCCTTTTCTTTTTTTCGTTTTCCTTCTTATTTGTTTGTTTATTTATTTATTTATTTATTTTAGAAAGGGTCTTCCTCTGTCACCCAGGCTGAAATGCAATAGCGGGATCACAGCTCACTGCAGCCTTGACCTCCTGAGCTCTCAAGTGATCATTCCACCTCAGCCTCCTGAGTAGCTGGAAACACAGGCATGCACAACCATGCCTGGCTTTTTATCTTTTGTAGAGATGAGGTATCCCTGTATTGCCCAGGATTGTCCCAAACTACTGGGCTCAAGATTTCCTTCCCACCTCAGCCTCCTGAAGTGTGGAAATACAGGTGTGAGCCACCGCACCAGCCTGTCTTCTCTTCATAGGTGAAATTATTCTATTCATTTGGATTTTCTCTTAAGACATGTGTTTTATTCACTTCTTTAGCTATGCTACCCTTTCTTGTTCTTATTTTATTCTCAACATTGAAGCAAACATTAGGTAAAATATGCAATAGCTATTTAACTGATGTAAAACTTAAAAGCTCTTTTTTTGCATTTTCCCAGTGATTCATTATATTTGAAATTTGAAACTTTTATCATCTAAAATAGTAGATCTCTTTTCATGGTATCAAAGCAGGCCAGTGTTGACACAGACAGCCTTAAAGTTGACAGAGATATTTCTCATTCATAGGTCAGTCTAATTTAATGTTGGCAGCCAGATTCCAAGTGGCGATTCAGAAACCTATGCTCCTTCCATCCTGTAGATTATTAAGTTGTTCTGCTGGTTTCTCTGCATTTGCTTATGAAATGAATGTGAATTACAGTATGTCACAGGATATTTGAGGAAGCAAGATATGGAAGTATATGACATTTCAATCAGCAATCCAATCATTGGCTATAGTTAGTCACATACACTCCTATAGATGGAAGATGGCTGAGAAATGTAGAAGCATTCATTTGTTTTTCTTCCATGGCCAGTTTAAATAGTTATCAACATGGTAGTAAGTTAATTGAAAATGACAGCAACAAATTACAGCTTGGAAAATTGCTTCAATCTGTGGCTAAGTCTTCTGTTAGCAAGATGAAATGATGCAGATCCAAATAATTCAGACACCAACTGGACTATAAAATTGATTGTCATTTGCATGGTTCCATCTTCAAGTATATAGTCATGGCCTTGAATCTTTATAAATTTAATGTCTTTTTATAATTAGTTTTGAAATGTTATCAAAGAAAAAACGTTTTTTAAACTAAGTACTGGGGACACTGTCAAGATTTATCTTTTTATCTAGACTTTTTGAAATTGAAACTATATATATAATCCAAAATTAACCTGATTTGCTTTTCTTTTAGTGATTCCAAAAGGATTAATTAGTGTTTTGCTTCCTTTTTAACTAACTGACCATTAGCTTTTCATCTGTCTTCATATTTTGGAGATATGTTAGATTACTGATAACAGTTATTCTGGTAATAAGTACTCCTCTCAGATTTCAAATTAGTAGAAACTGTTCTTCATTTATTATTTAGATGAATTTGTCTCTTTATATTTACAGATTCATTGGTGATTTATACATTCAATAATACTTTCATTATTGCATTCAATAGTTACTTAGAATAAAAATTCATATGAAATAAATGCAATAATGAAAGGCAAAAATTGTCTAAAACATGAAGGGTTATTTTTAAAAGAATAATTTAAAAATCAAACAAAATACCCTGGCAATGTCTATTATCACATATTTTAGTTTGCATACTTCTTATTGTTTTATATATGAATGTATGCAAGTCATATAAGAAGTTTAAATTATAATGAGAAGCAAAAAAACAAAAGTAATCTTAGGCATTAACTGATTCAGACAAATATAGCATTTAAAAGCCATACTTCACTTTCTTAGAAAATATTTCCTCTAACAAGATTTTTATGTAATCCCTGTGAAAGAATGACTTCAATTTACTAAGTACACATTTACTATGGTTGTTTACATAGATATAGCATTGCAATTTCTTCAACATGGGGTAGAGGAATGATGGTAGAATCCAGGTGACTCACTGAGTTTCTTCAGTGAGATGGGAAGACAGATAGGAAGTCAGAGAAGCTGAGGCAGATACATTTCAAGACTGATTATTTATGAATAAAGATCTATGCAGATAAATATTCTCAAATATCTGCATAGTGGTACCCTAGAGTCTTTGACTGAATACTAATCTGTATAGTTATAAAGTGAGACTACAAGGTTAGGCAAAGAAAAATTGCAGAAAAAGCTTTAAGTTGAACAGTTACAGGAGCTTACCCATGTCTGAGAAATATTTGCATTTCACTAGACAGAGTGGAGATACCTTGTTGAATATCTGACATTCAGTAGAAAGACCAGAAAGATAACACTTTATTAAAAGACATAAGCTAGCCTTAGAATAATAAATATGCTACACTCCCACAATTAAGCTTAAAAATGCTATTGTTTGAATTTAAAGAATTCAACAGCATATCAAAAATTAACACTTTTTAAAAGACGAGAGCAAAGTCAAACATTCAAAAATGTAACACATAATGCTTAGCACTTAATCAAAAATTACTAAACATATAAAGAAGCACCAATAGGTGACCTATAATTAAGAGAAAACTCAGTAATTAGGACTAGCCTCAGAAACATCACAGGGATGTTATTAGCAAACAAGATCTTCAAAATAGGGTGATAAAAGAGGGAAAAAAAACAAGCATTATTTCAAAAATCTAATTTGATATTTTATTTAGGAGAAAAAGAATTATTACTTTACTAATGCAAAATTTTTAAAAAAGTAAAATTGAATAAAATCTTGCACTGTCTTCAAGTGAGTTTCCAACTACACCAAGTCCACTACCTTGCCAGTACATGGTGACTCCTTAACCTTCCTCTTCTCCATTTTCCACAGTACTAACCATCAGCTCAGCCCTCATCAGTGAACTAATCTGATACCCGGACTGTGGCCAGTTCATATTTGTGAGGATGGTGAGAAAAAAAATGCTTAAAGATCGTTCCTGGAAGAACCAAACTTCCTGCTTCAGCCTGTAATTCTTGGGCTTCCTGTCCACTGAAGGTTTATAAAGGGTTTGTTGGCCCTTGGTGATAAGGAAAGCCCAGGAAATAGAGAGAAAAGCCTCTTGCTGAAGGTTTCTGTTATTTGAGGCTCCGTTATCGATGATCAATGTCCATGAAAAATTTCTGTTTTTCACAGGAGTTAGTTGTGCCCAGGCCAGCCACTCTGTTCATATGTTGCTATGTGAGGCATACCTCTATGCTACTTGAAAAAAACACAACAAAACATTTATAAGGCAGGCAATTTCGAATGCTTGTTGGTATTATTTTATCAAAATTATGAAAAAAATCCTATTTTTAATGTATAGATAAGAAATCCAAAACACAGAGAAGTTAATAATTAGCCCAAAACCACATAACTAATTGGTAAACAGGCAAGCCTGGTTTCAAACCAATTTTCTCTCAGAGACCACACTCTTATCCACTTGGCAACATTATTTTCCTCCTTTGTCCTAATATATTTTGTAAATAATCAGTTTTGAAAAACAAGGTGTTCATACTTTTATTTTAAAGAATCACAAAATGAAACTAAATGTCAACCTGAGATATCTCATTTTTTCAGAACTCTATTCAAATGCAAAATTCTATAGTATTCCCATTATTTCCCTGATAACACTGCCAACTTAGAGGGACAAATGAGCACTTTTCTACTTCAGCTTGAGCAGTCTCCAGGTCTTTTCTTATCCTTGCTCAGAGAATATCAGGAAGCTCCATTGGTGATAGAATCTGAGAAGTAATCCTCACAGTTCCAAACTTGATGCATCCATTCATATGCACAGAACTAGACTTTTGCTATCTATAGTGAAAGAAGGCAGAAAATAACCTTGGGGAAAAAAATGAAATAAAAAATATCCTCCAAATAGCTATTACTAAAAATACATGTAAGCATAAACATAATGTAAAGAAGATGTATATAATTAAAAAAAAACAAAAAGAACTTCTAGAAAAGAATATGCAACATTTGAAAGATAATTTCACTTAGTGAATTCAGAATTACTGGTGGGAATGGAAAATGGAAAAACTACTTTGGAAATCAGGTCAAGAGTTTATTACAAAATTTAATTGTTGTCTCCTACAGACTTGAAAAGAGGGAAATAGAATGTTCTTTGTTTGCTCAGGACATCATTATCTACATAGAAAATGCTAAAGAATCTAAAAAATTAGCTACTAAAACTTAAGTACTTGGCAACATCACAACATAAAAAATTGATTTTTAGAAATCATCTGTATTTTTTAACACTTTTAAAGAACAATTAGAAATTAAAATTTTGGAAGTTATCACTTACAGTGGCAACAAATAATATGAAATATCTAGGTATATAGCTGAAAATATGTGTAAAACTTGTATTTTATAGCTGATAACTACAAAATACTTATGATAAACAGTTTTTAAAAGTGTAAATAAGTAGAAAGACATATGATGTTCATGAATTCGAAGACCTAATATTGTTAAGATGTCAATTTCCCCAATTGATATGTAGATTTAATGCAATCCTATTCAAAATTATACAAAAATTCCAAAAGGCTTTTTTTGTTTTTGTTTGTCCCCAGAGAAGCTAGTTCTAAAATTAATATGGAAATAAGGACTAAGCATATCCTTCCGCTCAAAAAGAAAGTAAAAAAAATTCAAAAACAAGAAACATACTTGAAGAACTTACTCTATTGTAACAATACAATAATGAAGACAATGGAGGATCACTGTAAATCTCGATAAGTAGATAATGGAAACAGCAACAGATGCATAAATAAACTCAATATGTATGGTCAAATGATTGTGGAGTAATTTGTAAGACTGAAATCTGCAATTATGTGATTTCATTTGTGTGGCATTATAGAAAAGATAAAACTAGGAATGTAAAACTGATCAGTGGTTGGTTGTCAGGTATTGGAAAGTAAAGGGAAAGCTTGACTTTGAAGAGTCAGACATAGACTTTTTGGTATGATGAAAATAGTCCATTTTTACAATTGTCTTATATCTTGATTGAATTTTGACAAATAAAAAGCTGCAAACAATGATTGGATATTTGTTAATATTAATGAATGAATTACTTCCAATTTTGGGGTAAGGGTGTGGTATAAAATTGTGGTTATGTTTATAAAGGTATGTACTATCTTTTAGTTAGGTATAAAATTGTGGTTATGTTTATAAAGGTATGTACTATCTTTTATTTAGATATGCTGAGATAATTACAGATGAAATGTTTTTGGGGTTTTTTTTCTACATAATCTGTTGTAATAACTGGTGGGAGAAAGTGGGTGTATAAACACATTGCTGCAATTAAGTGATGGAGACATGAGTGTTCATTGCACTACAATTACATTTTATTGAAAATTTCCTCACTCAAATTTATGGAATAGGTATCTGTTAGAAACTATTGATCATTCTCTCTAAATTTGAAAAAAGAAGCTGTATTTGACTCTTATGTCCCAATAAAACTTAAAAAATGCTGCCCGAGAATTGTTTGGTGTGAAAAAAAGGAAACTACAAAGTCTTTTATTAGTACATTATTTTATGAAGACGTTAAGAGGTTTCCATTAGAAGAATTTGTATGATTCTTCACTGACAGTAAGTGACTTTTAATTACACTAAATTGTTATTTACCATCTGAATAAAAACAATAATACAAGAAGACAAAATAAGATAACAGAGAACAAAGCAACAAATGAGTCATTTTGTCAGCAGAACAAATTGATACTATACACTAAGTGCCCTACAGGATGTGTTAAAGTTCCCCGCTGAGCTATATAACAGAAATACAGTGCACCCTACAGATGGTTCCAAGTCAAAGGCTATCATTAAAAAAAAAAAAAAAAAGGCATCCAAAGTTTTTAAGAGAAAGAAATACATAAAAGAGAAGGAAGAAATACATAAAAGAGAGGATGATTTTTCTGCAACATTACACAATTATTTCTAATTTATTATAAACGAATACATTAATGTGACAATCATATCAATGATACCTTCAATTTTTATTATGCTGCTAACTCTTTAATTTATTGATTTAATTTATTAATGTACTTGTGGTCTGCCAAAAAATTAAGAACTGACAAAATTTACCATTAGTTTTATAATTCAGAGCCTTACAAGCATTATCTAATAATAGATACATATTATTATCTATTAAAGTTGCCATCACTTTTTTAAAAGAAAATGACTTTAAATACATTATATAACTAATAGGAAAACATTCCCTGGTTTTATAATTCATTATTTTAGATTATATTAGTTCAGATTTATCATCCAAAAGGGGGCACCATTTACATGTAGTGATATAGTAGATTAATGTTCCCCCCACATCTTAACAATCATTTAGTGTGTACTCTGAGGATATCTATATCTCTAGGACATTAGCAGTTATATTTTATTTCTTGCAAAAAATGTCTTGAAAAGTCAATTGAGTATTCACTCTTCATAAAAAGATTAATGTTTAAATGATGGGGCTGTTATAGAAAAGTTTATTACCTGTGTCTGTATATGAAAGTCCTTATTCATAAGTAGTATTTTGTAAGTATGTTGTCTGGCAGTAGCTATTTAACCCTAACTTTTCCATATATCTAACTTTAGAATGTGTAAATAGCTAAATTAGACTGATGTGTATGATGTCTCAGCTCATTTGGGCTACCATAACAAAATATCATAGACTAGGTAACTTATAAATAACAGAAATTGCTCACAGTTCTGAAGGCTGAGAAGTCCAAGATAAGGCATCAGCACATTCAATATCTGATGAGTATCTTCTGCTTTATAAATGTTACTTTCTTGCTGTGTTGTCCTATGGAAGGCGAAAAGGGTTTCCTAGAGCCTCTTTTATAAGTGAACTAATCCTGCTCATGAGGAGAGAGCTCTCAAGACCTTATTAATTACCTCTCAGAGGACCCCCTGCTGAGTACCATTGCATTGGAGAATAAAATTAAGCATAGGCACTTTGGAGGGACAGGAACATTTAAGCCATAACATATGGATTTAACTACATGGCCCTAGTTTGCAAAAATATAATAATAACAATTAAAATTATTTGCTGGCTTCAGACTATATCCAGAAAAGAGGAAACCAACCAACAAGGAAAAATAACCAACATTACAGCAGAGTAATGATAGTAGATAATATGTAATGAGTGCTTACAATATATCAGACATAGTTCTAAGTATCTAATAAATACTAACTGAAATACCCTCACAACTCCCTCCTGAGGAGGGTGCTATTATTGTCTTTACTTCTCAGATTAGGAATCTAGGCTTAGAGAGGTTAGCAAGAGTAGGCACTGAGAATTTAACTCAAGAAGTTTAGCTGTAGGGCCTGTACCTTTAGCTCATTAATTTTTAGCAGGATTCCTCAGGTAGTGAATGGAAAATGTTCTAACAGAATATTTGACATATAGTGATGACTCAAAATTTAACCAAAATTATAATTTTTAGAAAAAGAAATAAAGTTTTTGACATTCACTGCATTAAAGTGCAAATTTTAATAGTAGTGCAACAGGGAGTGTTTAACCAGGGCAAATAAGGACTTTATAACAACCTGTGCCCCCCAACCCCTACCTCACACTGCAGAGGTCTATTCCACAGACCCTGACCTAAGGATGGATGAATAACATACACTGACACAGATATTTTGCCTGTCAGTCCTGCAGAGGGTCTGGGCCACTTACCTGCACCAAGGATGGTGCTGTAGAGTTGCAGCCACAGCCCTATCAGCCAGCAAAGCTCGCATTTATTCAGTATAGATTAAATGACAAAGGTCTTGAGTAAACACCACTAGAGGGTAATTGTCATTGTGACATTGCAACTTCCTGAATAGAGAGCAGTTATGTACTCAAGGTTGATCAAAGGCTGGTCTTAGGACCACAGGAGTAAACAAGGTATTTAGATAAACTACTCTACATTCCTTTGTATCTGCACCCTGAGCTATTAACTCAAGGTAAGAATTAGGCTGCCTTCAGCCTGATCTATTAGTGGAGCTTATGAAACCCCCCTCCAGCCTTCCAAGAAGGTTTGTGTCTATTTCTTATAACTATCTTTAAAATTTTTCCCACTGGCCTGACTGAACTTCCATGCTGCACCACATTTGTGATTTCTGTCACTGCTTCATAGAGAAGGTGAAAGCCGAGAGATGAAAACGAAGACACAAAGGCAAAGGTGATTGAGGCTACATGTTCTCAGTAACTGAACAAACTTTAATGCTCCCTCACTGGGTTTCAATCCAATACTATTAAAAGTTCTTGAGCCAGGAGGGCCAGATTCTTCCCTTAGTTACACACATTCAAAATTCTCAACCAGTTGATGGATAAATAGATAGATAGATAGATAGATAGATAGATAGATAGATAGATAAATACATGCACACATACATGCATAACCTTTCCACCTTAGGTAAACCAGAGTAGTCTCTCTGCCAATTCACATAAAGATTCTAAGTACCCTTGAGATAACAGTGATAAAAGGGTACAGATTTCTAAGCTTCTTTATGAAATAAATGTGTCACCAAGGATAACTACTATCACTTCATCCTGTAATTTTATTGTTGCTTTTTTCCATCCGAACCTGAAGCCCACTTGCATAAGCACAAGTAGTAATACCACAATTCTGATCAATAAAATGCCTGCTCCTAATGGTTGCTACAACCTAGGAAGCACAAATAACATGAACTAAACAAAGTTTCTTCAACCCATGGCCTGCAGGCCTTATATGGCCCAGGACAGCTTTGAATGGAGCCCAAAACAAACTCATAAATTTTCTTAAAACATTATGAGATTTTCTGTGACTTTTTTTTTAAGCTCATCAGTTATTGTTAGTATTAGTGTATTTTACGTGTGGCCCAAGACAGTTCTTCTTCTTCCTATGTGGCCCAGGGAGGCCAAAAGTTTGGACACCCTGGACTAAACAGATCTGCCCTTGGAATTTGCTAGACTTTTAGAAACAATTCAAGTAGAGCTCACATATCTTATGTCTAAACATTTTAACTTATATATCAAAATTATTTGAATGTAGGTGAAATTCTAAAAATGTATATTTATTTTTTGAAAAATTTAATTAAATTTTATACATAATTTTACAAAAATAAAGTGACTCACTATTTTAATGTTCAATACTCATCTGGTCACCCATGTAAATAATCAGTATCATGATTTGTTCATGTTAGGCCTATACCTACATATATACAAATATAATGAAAGTATTTAGGTACAAAATGTTCCTCAGCTGCCAAACAACTGTTGGGAATATATTGCTAATTTGTGAGAAGCCCCTAAACCACAGACTGAAACACAAAGAAAAGGCAGAAATTAGATGCTGGACAATACTGGGAAATGACACTTTGTTAAACAAGAATATATTCCATTCATGCCATTTGAAAGGAAATATTTGACAAGTCTATTTATTTGTCTTTTAGTCAAATAAGGACAACACTGCACAAATTCTGACTGCAATTCACCTTGAATATCTCTGATTTATAAACCTTCAGAGCATTTGAATGCAGTGATTTTTGTTTTCAGAATATAAGTGAAGGGAGTGTACATTAAATTCACTGGAGTATGAATGCTGTAAAGCATGAGAGCAAACACTTAGGATTACGGGTTGCAATGTTCTAAGGCTTAATGCTGTCTTCCTTCCTGAGAGATGTGTACAAGTTTTTCATTAACTTATTTTATGCGTGTGCATTTCTGACATACAAATTCTACTAGCTGTGGGGCCCATGGGTGGGACTCCTCTTGCCTGAGTGTAAGGTCTATGCAGATTATAACATCAGAGTAAGGAATTAGCAAATTGTGGAGAAAAAAAATCAAGACAGTGATGAGCTTTGAAATTTAGGCAGCAGACTTTACATGCCACAAAGAAGACAACTGAGAACCATTTTGTTTATTGAACAAAAGAACATTCTAAAAGTGGCATAAAATATTTGTTGAGATTCTGTTATATTAATATTTCAAATCTTCCTAATAGCCCTTCAGATAATGAAAATAATTTTCAGTTATTTATGCAAGGATTTGACTTAATTTTTTTTCATAGGACAGAAAGTCAAGTAAAATTCATGAATTAACAAGTAAATATTTATCACATTATGTGGCTTATTCATGATTAAGCTGGAATTTGAAATTATCTGCTTTTTGCAGTCTGTGACCTACACAACATGCCGTGCCTTTTTGATGTCATATTTATCCATCTTAATGAAACTTGTTAAAAGTGTTATTCTATGTGTGTGGATGAACATAGATTTATTTAGAATATGTTTATTGATACTACAATGGTACCATGAATTTTTCTGCAAGTATTGATATAAAAATGCCAATATCTGAATTGACTATTGTCCCAAAGTCTAAGTAGCTAAAAAGCCCAGGGCATTAGGTAGTTTAATCAATAGTTTTAAACTCATAAACACTCAATGATAAGACAAGTGATGAGTGTTGTTTTCACAGGATCCTTGGGGTGTCAGTTCACCAGCCAAAAACCTCTGTGGTCAGTGGTGCCTTCCACCTGAGTTTGGTTCATGCCTGCTGGGCTAGTTCTGTCCACTCAGCCTGGCAGGCTGTGCTCAGCTCATGCCACCAGGCTCAATCCCACAGCTGCCAAGGGCCAGCCCAGTGCAGAGTGATGAGAGGTGTGTGGGTGAGCAAGGATGGGGTCTGGGCACTGCACAGAGCTAGGCATGCTGGTTGCTGTGGCACTCTGGGCAGATTCATGCAAGGCTGCAGCTGGACCAGATGTACTGCATGTGGCTTCCGTGTCTCGACAAAGGGAACACGGTGTGCCCAGAAGCTTAGAGACACCAGGAAACAGAGAGCCCTGAAGAGATTGTCACAGCCTTGGCTCAGGGAGCCCCTAGACCTGGGCCCCTCATAGGGCCACAGTTCTTCTCTCCTTCTCATTGCCCATGCGATGCAAATGTGTGTGGGCAGGGTGTGTTTCAGCCCTGTTTGTGTTACAGCTCTTTCAGTCCCACCATTCAGCGGTTACCAAGTTTCTTGTCCCATGTCCAGGGAGAATGAGGTATGTGGACAACTGAAGGGTGAGCAAAGCAGAGAGGAGCTTCATTGAGCAACAGAACAGTTCTTAGGAGACCTGAAGTGGGTAACTCCTTTCCACAGGCAAGTCATCCCAATAAGTATCCAGCTCTCAGTGGAGAGGAGATCCGCAGTAGGTAGCTCCTTTCTGCAGGCAAGTTGTCCCAGTGAGTGGAGTAATACCTTTCTGCAGTGGTAGTCTTGACGTCTGTTTAAGTGATTGAGTCTGGGGTTTCTATGGGCTCAGAAGAGAGGAAGTACATGCTGATTGGTCCATGGGCAGCCATGGGGAGGCCTGGAAAAGCAGCATAAGTTCTCACTCCAGGTGGCAGACTTCACCAGGCTTCCACAGAACTGGCAGCCCAGCCCACAGGCTTCAGGCTGTTCCTGGCTTGAAGGTGGGGCTTCACCAGGGATCTGCCCCTTTCCACCCATGAACCTGTCTGTCTCCTGCCATCAACATGCCATCCACAGCACCCAGGCTGTTTGTGCCAAGGGGTGGAAGGCCCACGCTAAGCTGCCCTTAGTCCCCACCTCAGCCTCCCTCCCATGTTCGTCAGCACCCAAAGTCCAGAGGGTGCTAAGGAGGCAGGGAGCTGGCATGTCAGAGTCACTCTAAGTGCATGCACACCCGGCAGGGTTGCGACAGTGCCCAGGCTTGGCCACAACTTTTCTCTGTCCCGGAGTGGATGCTGGGAATGGGAGCAGGAACTTTCAAGCCTGCAGGGGCTTCCTGGGCCCCCAAGAGCACAGAGATACCTGGGTCCATAGCTATGGCTGGGTGGCTGCTTCTGTGCCCAGGAGGGCGGTGCTCCCATCCTGCCAATTCGGTAGGGGGCAGGGCTCCCCCGGTTCCCAGCCCCTGCCAGTTCCACAGAGGGCACAGTCTCAGCCATGCCTCCCCTGCTGCAACTGGCATCTTCACAGCAGCTACTTCAGAAGGGCCACCACTGCCATCATTTCCACTTAGATACAGTTAAAATGTTTTGTCCTACAGTTCTAAAAAAGGTAAATAATTATGCTAAATGCACAAAATAATTATAATTTGTCCTGAAATGAAAGTAATGTATTATGAATGCTCTTTAAGTATGAGATAATTTTACGTCACTCTCAACCATAAAAAGTTAAAGAAAAGGCCCAAAACATTCGAAATAGTATTCAACTCACTCATAATTAAATAAATGCCAACTAAATAATGAAACCCATTTCATTCTACAAAATTGGCAACAATAACAAGTTTGAAAATATATATTTTTGAAATGTGTGTAAAAGAACAAATATACTCAACATTGCTGTTAGAATTATGAATCAATACATTTGGAGGACATTTTGGCAACATATTTCAAAATTTTAAATATTATATGCCTTTACCTAGACATTATATTTCTAAAAAAATTATCTAATGTTATACTCACACAAGAATGCAAGACATTCCCAAGTGTTTCCCTTGTAACATTGCTTCCATTTATGAAAAAAAATTTTAAAACTTACACATCCATTAATATTACATTAGTTTTTGTGTGGTAAATATGTACTGACCTGAAATGATTTCTTAGTGTTTTGTTGTTACGATTTTATTGTTGTATCTTGTTGTTTTGTTTCTTTTTCAGAGACTGGGTCTTGCTTTGTGGCCCAAGCTGAAACTCCTGAGCTCAAGTAATCCTCCTGCCTCTGTCTCCCTATTAGTTGAGATTACAGTTGTTATGGTTTTATTACAGCAAAAGCCAGTTAAGGGTAATATAGATTATAGGATCATAATTGTGCCAAAAAGAAAAGGGCACATCTTTATTTTTTCTCTCCATTCCTTTATTTTTATACTGGATTGTTGGCATGGTGACTGAAGTGGAACAGATTTGAAACCATAACAATGAAAGAACATGTTAAGGATGACAGAATGAACAAATAGAAGGGGCCTCCAGCTCTGATGGCACTGTAGAGCTACTCTATTAGTCCGGGACTGTTTGCTCTTCTGGGATCCCTGTAAAGTAAAAGAATAATAATAATAACAATTATATATCTATGTATATACACACACACACACACACACAGAGAGAGAGAGAGAAAGAGAGATATCTGGATTAAGCATGTCACATGCAGCAAACCTAATGCTAAATCATACAATGCTAGTACTGTGTCCCGAATTGGTTCCTTCTGGTGGGTTCCTGGTCTCGCTGACTTCAAGAATGAAGCCGCAACCCTCGTGGTGAGTGTTACAATTCTTAAAGACGGTGTGTCTGGAGTTTGTTCCTTCAGATGTTCAGATGTGTCTGGAATTTCTTCCTTCCAGTGCGTTCGTGCTCTCACTGACTTCAGGAGTGAAGCCACAGACCTTCGCAGTGAGTGTTACAACTCTTAAAGGTGGCAAGTCCAGAGTTGATTGTTCCTCCCAGTGGGTTGTGGTCTCACTGACTTCAGGAATGAAGCTGCAGGCCCTCGCGGTGAGTGGTATAGCTCATAAAGGTAGTGCGGACCCAAAGAGTGAGCAGCAGCAAGATTTATTGTGAGGAGTGAAAAAGCAAAGCTTCCACAGTGTGGAAGGGGACCCAAGCTGGTTGTCACTGCTGGCTGGGGTGGCCTGCTTCTACTCCCTTTTGTTCCCACCCACATCCTGCTGACTGGTCCATTTTACAGAGTGCTGATTGGTCAGTTTTACAGAGTACTGATTGGTCCATTTTACAGAGTGCTGATTGGTGCATTTACAATCCTTTAGCTAGACACAGAGTGCTGATTGGTGCGTTTTTACAGAGTGCTGATTGGTGCATTTACAGTCCTTTGGCTAGACACAGAGCACTTATTGGTGCATTGGGAATACAAAGTGCTGATTGATGCATTTACAATCCTCTAGCTAGACACAGAGCGCATTTTTACAGAGGGCTGATTGGTGCATTTACAATCCTTTAGCTAGACACAGAGTGCTGATTGGTGAATTTTTACAGAGTGCTGATTGGTGCATTTACAATCCTTTATCTAGACACAGACTGCAGATTGGTGCATTTTTACAGAGTGCTGATTGGTGCATTTACAATCCTTTAGCTAGACACAGAGTGCTGATAGGTGCATTTACAATCCTTCGGCTAGACAGAAAAGTTCTCCAAGTCCCCACGCAACCCAGGAAGTCCATCTGGCTTCACCTCTCAGTACTCTAATTTTTATGCTACAAAAGACTAAGCTGATTGTGCTTATGTTATTTACCTAGACTTGATCAACATGTTAGTGAAAGCACGTCTAAATGAAAAAACTCAACCATTTTGAAAATAATTTTATCATGTATCAGAGAATTTAGGGAGAATATATGAACTTTGAAAAATACAGTAGATAAAATGAAGTAAGATAAGTTTTTTGTTTGTTAGAACTGTACTTCAGTATTAAAATGCTTTTTGTCTTATTTTCCCTGGTTTTGAACAGTTAGTAATTTTTAAAACTAATTTTATATTTTGAATACTTTCTTTTCTGGTTATTTTAATGTATTATAGCCAATATGCTGAAAGAGAAATAGCCATTCAGGTGTCACAGTACTTAATATCAATATTGCTTATAATATATATTGTCAATTATGTGGTGGTGATTATTCTAAAATGCTAAGAGCCTGAAAATATATAGTAATTTAAATCATTTTTACAAGGGGTTCATTATAGAAACAATATTGAAAATATAATTGAAGCAAGTTTGAATCAGTTTCTATAGTCTGGGATCAATTGCTCAAGCATCTTCTCAAATGTTAAAAAAGAAATAAGTTGTTATAGCAAATTATATTAAAATGCATCTGGTTTGTTAGAATATGTTGTTTCAATTATACTTTGTACTGAATTTCAATTTCCTAAATGTCTTATATTCTTTAACCTTAGTGGGAAACAATCAAATCTCATTTCTTCCTGCTGGGAGACATACCAGAAAACAAGTTTTTAGTTTAAAGTTGTATTAGGGATAAAAATACCCCTCATGTAAACACTACTTTGGAAAAAGACCTATTCTTTAGCAACGCCTGGCCAATGTGTGTTTCTATGCTATTTTACGTATTTAAGTTCACTACACTGTACACCTCAAAAAAAGTAGGAGACTCACCTCACATATTCCCACTATGTTTAGCATCAATGAATAAATGAATGAATAATTAAATAGAATATTTTAGATCTCTTTGCCACCTTTAAACATTTATCTCTCCTATTTCTCAATCTGCTTTCAGAATTTTACTTTAAAATTTTTCCTTAAAATTTTGAATGGTTTCAAAAAGACCTATAATGTACTGTGAAAATAAAATTGTGAGCATTCCATGCATTAAAAATACCAATAAGAAAGATGGCTCTTGAATTAGAGCTCCTATATTTGATCCTGATGCTGACTTTACCATTCACTTACTGATACTGAGGCTGACACTTTAGAGGTTTTAGGTGGTCACTAAAATCTCTTAGAAGCAGTAGTCATTTTGTTTTCTTTCTGGACATGTGAACAGTATATACCTTCTCTGTGGACCATTATAAGTGCATGGCATGCAGTAAGTACCCAATTCATGTTAGAAATTATAATTTTTATTTTATTCTATCTTAGATTACAAATACCTTCTTTTTTATTTATTATTATTATACTTTTAAGTTTTAGGGTACATGTGCACAATGTGCAAGTTAGTTACATATGTATACGTGTGCCATGCTGGTGCGCTGCACCCACTAACTCGTCATCTAGCATTAGGTATATCTGCCAATGCTATCCCTCCCCCCTCCCCCCACCCCACAACAGTCCCCAGAGTGTGATGTTCCCCTTCCTGTGTCCATGTGTTCTCATTGTTCAGTTCCCACCTATGAGTGAGAATATGTAGTGTTTGGTTTTTTGTTCTTGCGATAGTTTACTGAGAATGATGATTTCCAATTTCATCCATGTCCCTACAAAGGACATGAATACCTTCTTGTCCTAGCAGCACACTACTTTCCTAGCATCAGTTCTCAGTAGGTCTTCAACATCCTTTGGCAATATTTAGTTATTAATTATTTTCCAAATATTATTCTGTACTTTTTAACATCTCTAGACCTTTTATAGTATAATAGTTTAAACTCTTTCTCAAGGTACAATTGAAACATCTTCTGGGAGAGATCACTGACCTCCACATTAACTAGATCCAAGCATATGGAGTTTCTATATCATGAACAGTAGTTTGCATTTCACAAGTAAATAACAAACATTCAGATGCTATCACTTTTGTAGAGCTTCTTTAAAGTGCTACTCAGATGGAAGATAGATGCTGTTTGGGTCTTGCTCCACTTCCCTTTCCTTTTCCTCAGTGAAAAGACTTCTAGCTCAAACTCTAGCCGCCATCTCGAATCATGAAAGAAACTGGGGGATGGAAGCTTTATACAAAGTATGAAATGGGAGAAAGACATAAGGAATCTAGGTTTCCAATGATCTCTGGTCTTCTATTAAAAAAATATTTTTTTTTCTTAAGCAACCATTGCTTCAGTTTTTTTCCTACATACAGCTAAGTAAGACACTCTTACATTCACTAAGGTGCTAATTAAAATGATAATCAATTCATTTAATCCTGGATGGTAGAACTGTTGTCATTAATTCAACTTTAAAAAGTAAATGATTTCCAGGTAAAAGTTTACTAACTATTCAAGAGTAGAGAGCTATATTGCTGATACTAATGTTAGCAAATAATCTCCTAGGTAGTAATAATAACATTAGTACTACTACTAGTAGTACTAGTAGAAGTAATAGTGGTACTAGTAATAGTAGTGAACATTCAGTATATATTCTAATTATTATTTGCAGGGTCCTCTTCTATGGGTTTTACATAATTTAAGCCCATTTACTGAAGTAGTTACTACTATAATCCTTAATTTACAAGTAAGAAGAGAAGTTCAGATAGACTAAGCAGTTTAACCAGTATCTGGCAGTTAGTAAATGGCCAAGTCAATATTTAAAATTAAGCCATAGGGTTTCAGTAATTATACAACCCATCAAAATGCCGAAGAAACTCTAGTAAACACCTAAAAACAACTATGTTAATTATTACACTGCTTCACTTAGAGTATTTCTTTAGAAGTTTTAATAAAGTGGAAGTTCAGATATCCCAAGACACATTTAGTGGAATGACTGATATAAGAGAAGTGTTTGACTGGAGACAGTACATTGGCATTAAAAATTTCAGAGGTTCAAGTTCAGGTGACTTCAACTTCTGGTGTTCATAGGTAGACTGACTGGTGTTGAGTGTACATACACATGCCACAGTAAATCAATTTATAGGTTAAGTTATTGGTTCAAGCTCAACCTATCATGAAAGCTTCTCATGACTATCCAGATCTTGGTATATTTTCTTTTTCAAAATAATATTGAATTTAAATAACTTTAGGAACAAAGACTATGTCATTTTCTTTTGTATCCTCAGGTTAAAACAGCCAGTGTCCTCACTATAGCTGAGTTTATATACGATAAAAGTATCTCTTTCTCTCTCACACTCTCTTTCTCTGTAAAAAACTTAAATGATTATTATTATTATTATTATTTTTTTTTTTTGAGATGGAGTCTTGCTCTGCCGCCCAGGCTGGAGTGCAGTGGCGCGATCTCGGCTCACTGCAAGCTTTGCCTTCTGGGTTCACCCCATTCTCCTGGCTCAGCCTCCCGAGTAGCTGGGACTACAGGCGCCCGCCACCACGCCTGGTTAATTTTTTGTATTTTTAGTAGAGACGGGGTTTCACCATGTTCGCCAGGATGGTCTCTATCACCTGACCTCGTGATCCGCCTGCCTCAGCCTCCCAAAGTGCTGGGATTACAGGCGTGAGCCACCATGCCTGCCCGGCCTATTTTTGCTTTTATAAAATTTATTTTATCAATCTGGTCTTCTCTCACTCTCTAAACATATCCAAACATAAATTGAATTGTGTTAGTGTAAAAGCCCCTGTAATCTTTTATGAGTTCATGACAAAACTTGTCATTAAAATGAAATTTTTGAGTTTATGTGAGAAAATATAGGCATATTTATATGAATTACAGTGTGAATCTTCAGTTCAGAATAAGAGTTCACTCTATTAATGGTAGTCTATAAATAAAATAAATTATACTAATAGGAAATTGATCCAAGGAAAAGACAAGTGTGATATGTTAATTTAAAATGAATTATTTTTCAGGTAAGCAGTGAATAGGACATTAGAGCTCTATTTCATGTAATAAACACCAGGAATGCCTGGAAAAGTTAATTCTACCTTATAATGGATATAATTTTCTCTGTATTCATTGACTGGAAGTATGCCTGAGACAGACCAACACGACGTATATTGTTTTTTTCCAGCCTGGCACTGACAGAAAATTTTCTTATTTTGCTCTTTTGAAACTTATGATATGACAATGCATCACTGATATTAATTCAACCAATCTATTTTGTCATTACTTATGTATTAGAAAATAAATTGTAATACTGAATATAGTCCTGATTTGTAAATGAAAAGACTATGTTTAGATTATGTTGCCTATTCCTAGACAACTTTAAATTATATGAACAAAATTGTAGATCTTAGACAGGTTAGAAAATTTAAGAGTTTTGGAGGAATCTAAATGAGTATGAATACAGAAATATTAGACTATTATGAAAAATAGTAAGAATACTTTGTGTAATATATTTATAACATAGGTAATGGGATTTAAAATAAAGAAAGAGACAAATTTAATGGCAGATATTTCTAGATTAACTTAATATATTAATATTTTACTGAATACACATAATTGGATTATCTATCATTATTACATTTATTTTAATTATTAATTATAGAAATGTCACTTTTTGCTTAAGATGTTTTTAATTTTCCATAATATGTTTCATTCATAAAAAATTAATTATTCAACAATGATGAATAACTTTTTGAATTATACTGTTAAATTTTAATCAAGCTTCACTTTCTTCCTAGTCCCATCTCAGCCATTTCTTACTGCTGCTTGTTGAAATTCATAATTCCTTTCTGTCTTAATATTTGCTATGTTCTTGATTAAATTGCCTATTACTTTTGCTGGATCTTTGTATGGATAGTTAATTCCTACTGCACGCATTTTTATTTTTTCTCTATACTTATTCTTCTACATATGTCTACAAATATATTCATAATACTCATTTTGAAAACTAGAAAAAGTGTTTCTTTAAAATTATGTATATATATAGATAGATACACATACACATACACATAGATAATCTGTGTATATATACACATACACAATTTCCAAGTTGGTGATGATTGTGTATATGCATAAATGTGTATACACAATCCCATAAATGACATATATATTTCATATATTAATTGAATTCATGCATATATAGGATGCTACATATATTTAATATTTGGGTTATATCAGGACAAGTTCCTAGTGTGTTTGTTTGCCTTGCTTGACCCTTCCTAAAGAGTCATCGACTATTAGTTACCATTGGGTTATAAAAATAATATTTGATATTAGTGTATATGACCTCCACCCACTCTCTAATTTTTTATCCATCTTCTGAACCTTCACTTGACCATGCTATGAATTCTTCTATACTAACTATAAATTTTATCCACTCCTACACCTCCTACTGTTATGTCCTTTAATTAGTTTTTCTTCTTGTCTAGTTTTCTAAAATGATTTACTCAGTTAATTCTACATTCCTTCTTGAAACTTTTCTCACTTAGATTTTATATTAGTCCTTGTGTTAAGACATTACTTTCTTCTTCCCAGTACGTGCCCTTTCCCAATAATTTAGCCGGTAGGCTTCTCCACTCCTGTATCACTCTACTTGGTATTCTCATATTCTCATTCACTTCTATGACTTCAACTGTGTTACAAAAAAGGGGGAATGGGGGTGCTATCAAATTGAAATCTTGAGCCAGGCACGGTGGCTCATGCCTGTAATCCCAGAACTTTGGGAATCCAATGCAGGAGGGTCACGAAGTCAAGAGTTTGAGACCAGCCTGACCAACATGGTGATACCCTGTCTCTACTAAAAATACAAAAATTGGCCAAGCGTGGTGGAACGCTCCTGTAATCCCAGCTACTCAGGAGGCTGAAGCAGGAGAATCCCTTGAACCCAGGAGTCGGAGGTTGCAGTGAGCCAAGATCGTGCCACTGCACTCCACCCTGAGTGACAGAATGAGACTCCACACCAAAAAAAAAAAAAAAAAAAAAAAAATTGAAATCTTGAACTACCTGAGAACTAATCTTGCTTTGACACAAACTAATTAGTGACTTGGGATTGCCATTCTATCTTTTTGCTTTTTGTACCTTATTTTCCTTTTCAATTAAAAATATTTTCTATGGAATCTCATTATAGGTAATAATAAGAGTACTAAGAAAAATATATTTTGAAATAAAATATTTCGAAAGAATATATTCTCCACTTAGAGTAATGTGCATTACTGAATTAAGGCTTTGAGAAGTCTTGTAACTTAAGGAAGAGAAAACAAAGAATAAGAAAAGGGAAAAGGTAAATAAATGTTTAACTTTAACTTACAGTTTCCAAAAGCACATATTATTATACAACACTGAACAATTAAATCTCCCCAATTCATCCCCTTTTCTTTAAATCCACAACCAATACAAGTTTAGTTCAAGTTATAATTCTTAAGTTCTATTTGATTCCACCACAATTTTACTAGCCACAGAATTTGTATTTGTGTGTGTGTGTGTGTGTGTGTGTGTGTGTGTGTGTTTGTGTATGTCTAACGATGAGAATGATGAGGTCTTGCTATGTTGCTATGTTGCCCACGCTGGTCTCAATCTTAAACTCCTGGGCTCAAGCAGTCCTCCTGCCTCAGCCTCCCAAAGTGCTGGGGTTGCAGGCATGAGCCACCGTGCCTGGCCCATCTTTTCTTGATTTCTCAGTGTTATGATTATTCAGGCCTTTCTGGCCTTCTTAGATTTTAATGGAGAATACTGAATTGGTTTCTTTATATCTTTAAGTTCTCATACATCATTAGTTTTAGCCAAGTGTTGTTTTGGTAGAAAACAAAACACTGGTTCCACATTGCTGTAGTACAAACTTAACAGTCATCTTTATTATGTTTGCTTGGCTCTTATATGTAGTGACCAGACATCCAGCTGTCTAAGAATAGGTCTAGTTTCCATGTTTCCTCAGCATAATTATTGATTTTCCTTTTTTTTTTCTCAAAAGTTCCCCCATTTTGGACAATAAATGTTATATTTATCTTACCTATATGCCTTCTAATTTCTGGTAAATTACATAGGTTATTTGCTCCAAAGTAAGTGTTATTATATCCTGTTTCCTTTACCTGCTTTGTATTTATTTCTACCTTAAAAAATTCCATTATTCTCCTGATGTTTACTCTGAAAAGTCTTAAAAGGCACTAAGTTTCTAATTCCTTGTTCATTTTTGCATAAGCTGTATGATATCTATTTTCTTAATAGATATCATGATTAATGTATCTCACACAATATACATTCCTAAATTTTTTTAAATTTTATTTTAGGTTTGGTGCTGCATGTGAAGGTTTGTGACACAGGTAAGCATGTGTCAGAAATATTTGTTGTACATATCATTTCATCACCCAGGTATGAAGCCTAGTACCCAACAGTTAACTTTTAGGCTCCTTTCCCTCCTTCTAAAATTTAATTCAGGTTCCAAATTGGCTGATTATGAAAAAAAATTTTAAATGGTCAATTTTTAAGGCATGATAAATCTAAGTACTGGCAGCCAGCTAGCGGATGTAAGAAACCTCATGGCTCATGCACCTAGAAGGTCACGAAAAGTGAGCAGAATGTAGAGGAGGGGTCAGCCCATTAAAGGCAAGAAAGTTTTGTTATTGGGAAATTCAAAGTTAAGCAGGGAAGGGGACCGGGGTATAACTTTATAGTGGGGATAGTGAAACGTAGGCGACGTCTGGGAAGATTGTAACCCCAAAGAACTCCACCAGTGACGAACTAGGGGAGGGACTTACATGCTATGAGATAAATTACACACTGTAACTGGCCCAGGTGTGCCTGCCTACCAGACACCGGATCTTGCAAGACCGCCATTAAAGTCTCACTTGTGCTGTTCTTCATGTCTCCAAGTCCATTATTTGGGTTTGGGTGGGTAAATTTGTGTTTCTCACACTAGTGAAAATAAATTTATCAGACATTACATATTTTTAAAGTGAAATCTGATCATATTACTTGCACACTTAACACCTTTCAGGAACTCTCCACCAAAAAATAAAATTCAAATTCCAAAGATAGAATAAAAGGTCTTGTCCAACTTTCTTGGTTCATCTCTCAGGATTCTCAAGGATATCCTCTGATTTCTAGTCATTTCAAAGTATTTACTGTCTTTGGAATGGGCCTGCTCTAGTCCTATCTTTACCTTTTTGCTTTGTTATGTCATATTTAACATACCAGTTTTGGAGTAATTTCAATTAATTAGAGTATGACTGTGGCCAGTTTATGTTTCTTCTAATCTTTGCCCTGAATTAAAATAGGTCAAATTTCACTTTCTTTTCTTTTAACTCTTCTTTCAAGTTCAGTGGTATATGTACAGGTTTGCTACATAGGTAAACTTATGTCATGGGGGTTTGTTGTACAGATTATTCACCCAGGTACCAAGCATAGTACCCATTAGTTATTTTTCCTGGATCCTCTCCCTCCTCCCACCCTCCACCCTTTGATAGGCCCCAGTTTGTGTTGTTCCCCCCATTTGTCCATGTGTTCGCATCATTTAGTTCCCACTTATAAGTGAAAACATGCAGTATTTGATTTCCTGTTTCTGCATTAGTTCACTAAGGATAATGGCCTTCAGCTCCATCCATGTCCCTGAAAATGACATGAACTCATTCTTTTTTATGGCTGAATAGTGTTCCATGGTGTATATGTCCCACATTTTCTTTATGCAGTCTATCATTGATGGGCGTTTAGGTTGATTCCATGCCTTTGCTATTGTGAGTAGTGCTGCAATGAACATACATATGCATGTGTCTTTATAATAGAATTATTTATATTTCTCTGGGTATATACCCAGAGATGGGATTGCTAGGTTGAATGTTATTTCTGTCTTTAGGTCTTTGAGGAATCACCACACTGTTTTCAACAATGGCTGAACTAGTTTACACTCTCATAAACAGTATATAAGTGCTGCCTTTTCTCCACAAACTCTCCAGCATCTGTTATTTTTTTACTTTTTAATAGCCATTCTAACTGGTGTGAGATGGTATCTCCTTGTGGTTTTGATTTGCATTTCTGTTATGATCAATGACTTTGAGCTTTTTTTCATATGATTGTTGGTCACATGTATGTCTTCTTTTAAAAAGTGTCTGTTCATGTCCTTTGCCTACTTTTTAACGGGGTTGTTTGGTTGTCTTCCTTGTAAATTTGTTTAAGTTTGTTATAGATTCTGGACATTAGATCTTTGTCAGGTGCATAGTTTGTAAAAATTTTCTCCCATTATGTAGGTTATCTGTTTACCCTCTTGATAGTTTCATTTGCTGTCTAGAAGCTCTAAGTTTAATTAGATCCCATTTGTCAGTTTTTGTTTTTGTTGCAATTGCTTTTGCCATCTTCATCATGAAATTTTTGCCCATGCCTATGCCCTAAATCATACTGCCTAGGTTGCCTTCCAGAGTTTTTATAGTTTTGGGTTTTCCATTTAAGCCTTTAATCCATTTTGAGTTAATTTATGTATGTGGTGTAAGGAAGGGGTTCAGTTTTAATCTTTTGCATATGGCTAGCCAGTTACCCCAACATCATTTATTGCATAGAGAATCCTTCCCACTTTGTTTGTTTTTGTCAGGTTTGTTGAAGATGAGATGGTTGTAGGTGTGCAGTCTTATTTCTAGGTTCTGTAGTCTGTTCCATTGGCCTATGTGTCTGCTTTTGTATCAGTAGCATGCTGTTTTGGTCAGATTATATAAATACACAGTCACTTTCTGCATTTAAAATTCATTCATTCCTGTTTAATCTCTAAACTTATATTCTATTCCAAAGTGGTCTCCAAACTCAATGCAAACCAAACTTCTGCTTGGAAAAGTGGAGTATTCAGCTCTTTTACTGCTTTGCTTTCTTTCTTCTTCTAGATTCCACATCCCCATATTTGAGGATAGGGAGAAAGGAAGATTTTGGGATGGGACAAAGGAAGATTTTGGGATGGGAGAAGTCATGTTTCTATACTTCAGTGGATTGAAGTTTGCAATTCTCCGTGTAGATTGCAAACTCATTTTGCTATCTGGAGAATGTTGGTGGGTTCCTTCCACAGCTTCTACTCTTCCTGAGAATCTCTCACATTCCCACATCTTCAAGATGGAGAATACAAGAAGCTTCATTGCCACCCATCTAAAAACTCAGTGACTTTTACCACCATAGCCACATAATCTCACCCTTTCCTCATATAATTGGAAGTGAGCAAGGAAAAGAAGATTATAGCAGGTCTTCTCTGCTGGAATTCAGTGAACTTTGGTAATAGAGAATGAGAGTGCTATTTACTAATCCTCGAGCATCAGGAAAAATCTTATCCAATATTCCATAATGTATTTGCTTTTTCCTTTCTTGGTATGCCCCTCTCCCTTCTATAGCCAATGAATTTCTATTCACGTTTCAAGATGCAACTCACATATTATTTTCCCTGTGACATCTTTCTCATTATTTTAGACAGATTTAAGAGTTCCCATGCCAGGACACCCATTCATCCCCTGCACACGATTCTACTACAGCATGTATCACATTTGTCAACATTGTACTTCCCTGGTCCCTTAATGGAAACCTGGCATCATCAAAAGACCCAATCCAGGACTGTTTTAAACAAACAAAATCTGAAACTCCTTTTCTCCTACTCTTCTGATTTTTTCTACATACCTTAGGAACTTTTAAAACATTAGGAATATGCTTTTTTTTTTTTTTTGAGACAGAGTCTCCCTCTGTCGGCCACACTGTGCAGTGGCACGATCTTGGCTTACTGCAACCTCCGCCTCCCAGGTTCAAGGGATTCTCATGCCTCAGGCTCTCCAGTAGCTAGGACTATAGGTGAGCGCCACGACAGCTTGCTAATTTTTGTATTTTTGGTAGAGATGAGGTTTCACTATGTTGGCCAGGATGGTCTCCAACTCCTGACCTTGTGATCCACCCATCTTGGCCTCCCAAAGTGCTGGGATTACAGGCTTGAGCCACTGCGCCTGGCCCAGGAATATACTTTTAATAAAAAAAAATCCCTACTCTCATGCAACTTGCATTCTAATAGATAGTGTTCATTCACTATTTAAAGTATTCACTACTGTTATTAGATTCATGCTACATGTCACCCTCAAAGTTGATCAGTGTGACACTAAACTGTTAATAAAGCACAGAAAACAGTTTGACCGAAAAGGACCAAAGGTTGAGATTTTGTCAGAAGGTAGAAAGATTTTCCCCAGATAAAGTAGAAAATATTTACATAAATGAATGAAAGAGGAATAAAAGACTGAACATGAAAAAAGAAAGCAAAGGGGTATAAACAGAGTGAAAAAGATTAAGGAAAGTTTTGAAGATAAGAGAGATTAGAGAAGGAAAGAAAGAAGTGGAAAATGAAAAATTGTCTGTGTGTCCCTCCCATCTGTCTAGCCCTTTCAATAACCAGGTATGCTAAAGGATGCAAATTTATATTAGTAGTAGCCTAAAGATGTAATTGGAAAATATATTTGCTAGGGAGAAAATAAAATCTGTAATGTTCTCCAAAACCAAAAATTTGTATAATCTAGGTCAGAGATTTTCTTCATGCTTTTGGACAATATAAATTGCCTTTGTTTCATTTACTTAAAGTATTCCTACTTGGAGAATACATTTGATAGTTACAAGTAAATCTTTAAATCATTTTCCATACTTCTAGGATCTGGTTTTTGTTGTGATATTTTTAAAAAAGATTTTAAAATGAGTGCATCGAGTCATTTTAGGACTATGCTACAAAAAATAGCAATCTCTTTAGAATGGTACAATGGATAATGAATTCTGGGACTGTGTCTGGTTTATGATTGACAAAGCAAAATCTGTCAATGATAAGTTTTAGCAGACTTTAGGAAGGGCCAGCTCTCCTAGCTACTAAATGTTTGTCACTCTAAAAACTAACCATATCTGCCAGGTGTCAACATATGAATTGCTGAGATTTAGAATAAAAAATGGGAGAACCAAAACATTTACAAATGCAATACATTTATAAAGCAACTATAGTGTTAATAGACAAACCATATATATGTCTGTGTGTTAATGAAAACATATATTTATTTATGTATGTTTAGTAAACACACAAGTCACAATATTGAATCTAATTTGGTAACAATATCTCAAGTTTTAGAGGAAAGTGAAATTTTAAGAGGTTTTATTTATCTGACATGCTTTGTATTATAGTCTAAATTATCTCCAAGTCTAGTAACCTTCAAACTGACAGCCCATTCAGAAGGCCCAGAATAAAATAGTGAAGTCAGAGCAAGCTTCTAACTCACTGTGGAATGTCCTTTTTAAACCGTAGTGCTGGCTGACAGTCTGTAAGGTTTGGTTACCCCAAAGAGCAATGAAATAATACTTGAGGGAACTTGTGTTGCGTAATCCTGTCAGGCTGTTTCCAAGGATTATATGACATTACTAAGAGATAGAACCTGAGCAAAGGTGGAAAGTACATATTCCTTTCTATTCTTTTTGCAATTCTAAGTTGAGGCTAAGCACTTTTTTTGCTTACTTGCTTAGTGAACTTTCTTCTATGAGTTCATTTTCATTCTTGTTTCTTAGAACCTTCAAGTTTAATTAAGCCATATATATATATATATATATATATATATATATATATATATATATATATGAATTCATATATAAGTAGGAAGTAATAGATATATGTTATTTTAATTTTTAAATACCAATATCTTTAAATATAAGGGACCTACTTTACTGTATGCAAGACATAGTCATAACATCTAAATAATTTGAATTTTGTACAAGGATTATATTTTTATAGTTTATATAAAAACCTTCACTATGTTTTAGCAATTGCTCTTTTTTAAATGGTTAATTTTTCAATTCATCTTCAAAATTTTTAGTAATAGCAACACCAAAAACTAAGTTGCAAAAGAATGTTTTGTTTATATAAGAAACCCTAATGAATTTCTTCTTAAATAGTATTTTTTCTAATTATAAGTAAAATATTTTAGCAGAAAAATTTGTAAAGTAGATACATGTATGAGAGAAGCAATAATCACATCTTTTCTCAATGTTTTTAGCATTCTCCATACTTGAAAATTCTCATCCTTATTGAAGTAAGCAAAGCAATAGAAATCAGGCAATATTTGTTAATTAAAAACTATCAAATTAAAATAGTATAAGTAAGCGTGCAAAATATTAAACATAATTAGTAATTGAGATAATGCAATGTAACTTGAGATAACAGCATTTTTTATCTATAAATTAGGAAGTCATCTCAAAAAGTAATATGGGAAGTCTTGCTCACCTCTGTGAAAGAGAATAAAACTGTGAAATTCAGAAGAAGCCTTAAAAATTTTATGCTCTTGGACCCATATTTCCACGATTCTAAGGATTTTTGCTGAAGTAATACTTAGCGATACATGATTTCTCATCACCTTCCTCTTAACAACAGCTGAAAACTGGAATCAAAACATATGGCTAGGATAGTGGATTTGTTAATTGCTTCATACTGCCCTATATCCATATGCTTGGATTTATTGACTTTTATGAATGTTGTTACTACATTGCTAATTGAAGAATGAGCTGCATAATGGTATATACTATTGCATGATTATTTATTGTGGGTGGTGATGAAAATGAGCTATATCTATCCTAACGTGTGAGTGATTTTCTCCAGAAATGCTCAACTGATGAATTGAAGACATGTAATTGGTTGGATTTTCTAAGGTTATGGTTGTGCCATGGAATTAACATGAAAAGAAAAAAAAAGCAAGTGAGAGAGTTGAAAACATTTATGAGGTAATAATTAAAATAATAGAGCATGGTTTCTTTGCTAAATACAGAGTTAAATAATGGTAAGGAGGAAAATAAAGCGGACAGAGAAAAACGATGGCCAGATCAATACAGATCAATCATTAAAGCAAGGGAATTGGTACAGTGGGGGGTGGGGGGGTTCAGCAGGTAAATCAGAACTGATTTCTGTAACTAGGCACATTAACATTTCAAGTTTTGCAGATGTTTTCACAAATTTGGCATTTGACTCTTACTTTAAGTATTTTCTCTGTGATAATCTTTTCCTTTATTATTGTATTTCTTCTCAGAAAGTTTTTCTGTGACCCCAAATCAGTTATTTATGCAACCATATTATCTTCAGTGTTGTTTTATAATTTTCTGTTTTGTATTCTAATCTTTTATTTTTTATTTTAAAATTTTTAATTATTATGGGTACATAACTTGCACATATTATAGAGTACACAAGATAATTTGATGCAAGCATACAATATAATAATCAAATTAGAGTGACTGAGGTATCCATCACCTTAAGAATTTATCATTTATTTATGCTAGGAATGTTCCAATCTACTCTTTTAGTTATTTTGAAATACACAATAAATTATTTTTAATTATAGTTGCCATATGGTGCTAGTGAATGCTAGATCTTATTTAGTCTATCTGAATGTATTTTTGTACCCATTAACCAACCGCTTTCTATTCTCCCCTCCTTACTCCTCTTCCTAGCCTCTGATAAAAATCATTCTACTCTTTAGCTCCATTAGTTCAATTTTTTTTTAGGTCCCACATGTTAGTGAGAATATGCAATGTTTACCTTTCAGTACTTGGTTTATTTTACTTAACATAAATCCTTCAGTCCATCCATTTTGTTGTATATGACATGATTGTATTCTTTTTATGTCTTAATAATATTCCATTGTGTATGTTTACCACTTTTTTAATTCATTCATCCATTTAGAGACACATAAGTTGGATCCATATCCTGGCTGTTTTGAATAGTACTGCAGTGAACACAGGAGTGCAGATACCGCCTCAGCATACTAATTTCCTTTTATTTAAATATATACCCAGCAATGGGGTTGCTGGATCATATGGTAGTTCTAATTTTACTTTTGTGAGGAACCTTCATACTGTTCTACTTAATGGCTGTACTAATTTACATTCTCACCAACATTGTGGAGGGGTTCCCTTTTCTCCACATTCTCTCCAACATTTGTTATTGCTTGTCTTTTGGATGAAAGCCATTTCAACTGAGATGAGATTATGTCTCATTATAGTTTTAATTTGCATTTCTCTGAAGATTGGTAAAGTTGAGAATTTAAAAAATATACCTGTTGGCTGTTTGTATGGTTTTCCTTTTTGACAAATGTCTATTCAGATCATTTTCCCATTTTTTAATCAGATTTTTGTTTCTGTTGAATTGTTTCAGTTCCTTACATGTTCTGGTTAATAATCCCTTGTCAGATGAGTAGTTTACAAATGTTTTTTACCATTCTGTGTGTGAGTTGTCTTTTCACATTGTTGAGGATTTCATTTGCTATGCAGAAACCTTTAAACTTGATGTGATCCCATTTGTTCATGTTTGCTTTGGTTGCCTATCATTTTGAGGTCTTACTCAAAAAATATTTGCCCAAACCAATGTCCTGGAATCCTTTCCCAATGTTTTCATCTAGCAGCTTCATAGCTTCAGGTCTTAGATTTAAGTCTTTAATCCATTTTGAGTTGATTTTTGTATATGGTGAGAGATAGGAGTCTAGTTTGCATATGGATATTCACTTTTCCCAGCACCATTTATTGAAGAAACTCTCCTTTCTCCAATGTATGTTCTTGGCAACTTTTTTTGAAAACATGTCAACTGTAAATGTGCAGATTTACTGATGGGTTTTCCATTCTATCCCATTGGTCTATATGTTTGTTTTTACACCAGTACCATTTTGTCATAGCTACTATAATTTTGTAGTATAATTTGAAGTCAGGTAATGTGATGCCTCTAGCTTTGTTACTTTTACTTGGGATTGCTTTGTCTACTCTGTGTTTTTTGTGTTCTATATAAATTTCAGGATCATGTTTTTCTGTTTCTGTGAAGAACATTGTTGGTATTTTGATAGGGGTTGCGTTGAATTTTTAATCCATCTACAATTTGCTTTGGTTTAAATTTTATCCTCTCTCAAGGTAGGGAATATCTCAATATTCCAATCCTGTATTTTGACTAAACCATTTATTTCCCTTTAGTTTGAGTGCCATTTTCTGTGAGGAATATCTTCAAAATATACAGGAATTTACCCAACTCTTACCATCTCCACAGCCATCACCCAACTCCAAGCTACCATCATCTCTAGTTTGGAATACTGCTACTGCCTTCCACAGGGCTCCCTGTAATATTCTCCACACCATTGCAAAGTGATCATTAAAAACGAATGTCAGCTCAAGAAGCTCCTCTGTTGAAAATACTGAAGTGGGTTTTCATTACACTATGCATTAATCTAAAAGGCTTTGTTTTGACCCACAGACCCTATGTGATCTGGCCTTTTGGTTTGACTTTGTTTTCTAGTTTAGTACATGCCAGCCACACAGGCTTCAAAGTTGTTCTTAAATTGAACAAGCATGATTCCTGCTATCTCTGATCCCTACTGTTTCTTCTTCCTGGAATGCTCTGTGTTTACTAGGTTTGTCCTTATATTATACTTCACTCTGATGTTGCTCAAATGTTGCAATAGACATAAACAGTATGCAGCTCAATAAGTACAGCATGTGTCAATTTAGTCAAAGATCGTATTTACCACTTTCTTATCACATTTCTCTTTCTCCATTCCTAAAATACCCTATATTCTGTATTGGTGATTACTTCCATGCTATTCTTTGTACTTTTGTTACATATGACTAAGCAATCTATAATGTCTAATGTATAATCTATAAAGTATAAGGTAGCTCACAGAATTTGGAGGATGTGTATGTAGAAAATAAGTTTGGAGAACATACAGCCAGCACAATGACTACCCAAACTGTGGAGCTGTTCCCACAGACAGTATTCTCCTACCAATCAATGAAACTAAGAACCAACAGTACATCCCCATGGCCATAAAAGAACAAATACCCCTGGACATGTCAACTTCAGTTCCAAGTCTTATGTATATTGTCTTGGAGAAATATTTGCTTGGAACAAGCTAAATCGCATGTGAAATTCTGGCTACAAAGAATCTGAAAAATCTTGTATCTGTCTTATCTGAGGTCCTAAAATGGTATTGAATGAGACAATTTGAAGTATAGTTTATAATCCACTCTTTTGACTCCTCAGTATTTATATGCATACTTCTCTAGACAATAGAATAGCAAAATCATCTTGAATTGTAACTCCCACAATTCCCACGTGTTGTGGGAGAAACCTGGTGGGAGGTAGTTGAATCATGAGAGCAGATCTTTCCCGTGCTGTTCTCGTGATAGTGAATAAGTCTTATGAGATCTGATGGTTTTAAAAACAGGAGTTTCCCCACAAGAGCTCTCTCTTTGTCTGCTGCCATCCACGTTAAGTTGTGACTTGCTTCTCTTTGCCTTCCACCGTGATTGTGAGGCCTCCCCAACCATGTGGAACTGTAAGTCCATTAAACCTCTTTCTTTTATAAATTTCCCAGTCTCAGGTATGTCTTTATCAGCAGCAAGAAAACAGAGTAATACAATCATCATGCCCCAGCTTCCCATAGTACAACTATACATGCATAAGGTAAGACATGGTAACTCTTTCCAAAAGGGGAATCTTATGTCTTACCAAGTCACTGCTTTCATATCTGGTTGTTTTCATTGTATCTCTAGTTCATATTCAACCCTGTCTTGCAAGCATACAATACATGGACTTAATTAACTGAACTATCAATAAGTCAGCTTATTTTTCAGTAGGAAAAAGAAGAAAAATTGAGCAAGGAGAACAGTTAAGTACATATACATAGAACAATTAGGGGAGAAAATATGATTAACTACAATAGTTCTTGGCTCTGCAACTCTTTATCTGACTTATCAATTATGTTTATAGGTTTCTTTCTTTATTATCTATTCCTCAGCTTGCATCTAAGTTAAGGTTCTTTATATATAAAAGTACTGAGTTCTCTGAGTTTCTTCTCAGAAGAAGAAATTTAGTTAAGAAAAAAGAAAGTTGAGAATTTGCTGGACATGAGAGTAGTAGAAAGTGTTCTAGAACATCCCTGGGCTTCCATATCCCATACAGTAGAAACTATTTCCTCTGAATAATTACGATCATCACTGCAGCTAAAAAATCTTCCCTTTCTTGCCGGTCCAGTGGTATGAAAAGCCCCCAAATGGCAGAATAACATCATAACTTGGAATTCAATGAAAATGTTGTTACCCCTTGTGGAAGTTTTCTCTCTCAAATGCTAAAAACTCTAAAACATCTGAATTCAGCATAGACAGGAAGTAGACATTTGCTAGTAGTACATTAGGTATAATAGTGAAAGATTATATTATATAAATATAATGGCCACTTGTTCAAAGTTTATACTGCATCCTGTTGGATCACATCCCCATCTCATAAGATCTTATTTTTAACAATGAACATCATAAGTTGATTTTCAGTAGATCATTCCATGTATTCTACAAGGATAGCTGTATTCAGGTTATGGAAAACATGGTAAAACCCTTAAGAATCAACACATCACCTTAATTAATTATCCCTAAAAAGACTTCCTTATTGAGAAGCAATGCTATGTGGGATACTATGACTATGAGTAAAGTAATTAGAAATTCTGCATATGGTGATGAGGGCAGAAGCTTGACGGTGAAGGAAAGCAAATATGAATCATTACTTTGTATATTTCAGTGAATAATAATTTCCGTCCTATCCATTCATTAGAGAAGTAGTTTAGGTAATCAATCTGCCACCAGCATAGTGGTGAGCCCGGCTGTTGTGGCAAATTAAAAGGAAGTACATGTTATTGAGCCTTGTAAAGACTTCATCCCTCCGTCTTTGCAATTCTGTTCATGAGAAGTTAGAGTAAGCATTGTCATGGCTGGAGAAAAAAGATTGACTGGACTGTCCATGGTGTAAGACATGCTAGGTCATCTATTAAATGGCTATCTCAGGGAACAGGAACTACTGGCAAATATGGGTCATGTTGAGATATATAAGCATACATTTCTTTTAGAAATGCCTATTTTACAAGTTCTCCACTTTTTTCTACTTCTTTATTTATTGAATTAAATTGTTTATCCCTCTTGATATTCCCTACATGTTATCTTTCCTTCTGGTGAATAAAAGATGTATCACCTCCAGGTTATTATCCCTAAGAGAATGTCACTTCTTCTATATCTTTGGGGGGCACCCTGAATGATTCTGTAACAGCACAGCCATCCACTGCCAGTCAGTGTCATCTGTAATTCAAGGATATCTGTGAAAAAACTAAAGTATTTTTTGTGTTATTACTGTTGTTTTTATGCTTTTTGTTGTTCTTTATTCCCTGTTGTCAGATAACTAGTCAGAGGGAAACATGGCGGAGAATGTTCATTAATCACAAAACCTATATTCTCTCCCTCATAAATGTACATTTAGGCCCTCTTTTTTCGTCTTCCTCAAAGTTAAGTATGGGCAGATGACAGAATTCTGGTCAGTAGAGTGCAGATAAAACTTATGTGTGCTACACGGAGACCAGTTCGATAAAGAAACTCTGAGTCATTCCACAAGTATTCTTCTTTCCCACAGTGGCATTGACAGCCACATATTGAAGAGGCAGAGCAACATATTGAAAATGGAAAGAACAAGTGTCCCTGCTTGGTGGAGAGAACTATTCAATCATAAATAGCTATTTTGTACTTTACAAGAGTGAGAAATACATTTCTATTATGTTAAACTCTCAAATTTTGGGTTTTATTTTATTGCAGCTAGCATTACTCGAATAATTCAGGGAACTCCCCATGAAGACACAGATAGGAGCTGAAAGAAAGATAACAACGGAGTAAGAATAAGGAAGAGGAAGGCATATAATTCACACCTCTCAGACCTGTTTGAGACTGGGCTTACTTATGGAACAAAGGCTCAGGCAACACCTATTTGAGAGATAAAGTTTAATTTGTCCAAGACTGATGGTCCACTTGATGGTTGGCCTCCCTGAGAAGTTGTTGGCTTCCTTCAAAGCTTCATGGAAGTCAGCCAAGGAATATCTTAATGAATTGCAAAGGTTGGACCCAGCTCCTTCCTATTATGCTGAAGAAAGGGCTAGTTACTCTACCCTTTAGCCACAAATAGTGACCTGAAAGGGCTAGAACCATGGTTATGCCACAAAATATTGCTATTTTATTCTTGATCTGTATTTTAAAGCTGACTATAACTTGGGAGGGTCTGGTGTTTTCCATTCATCTTGTATAAAGTTCCACATTTTCAGAGTTGAGATCCCTTTAATGAATATGGATGCATGACCCTGTTAGATCATGCCCTAGAATAAGTGGGAAATCAGAGACATGTGCAGCTGCTACAGATCCTGACTCCAAGAGTTTCCTTGGAATATGTTTCTACATTAGTTCTTCTGTAAGGGCATTTATCTTTGTATGCAACATAGAGTTTATGATAAGTAGCTCAATTTGTGTAACCCATTGATATTTCATGATCAAATGTTCATTCTCTACTAGGTCCCAAAAGCAACTTTAAAAGAAACAATGCTGTAAAATGCCCAAATCACATGGAGAAGACATAAAGACCTTGATCAAGAGCTCAGCTGAACGTCTAGACACTAGCCAGCCTCAACTGCCAGATTCAGCTCTGTCCTTAACATGTCAGCCTCAAATGTCCAGCCTATTCAAACTTTCAGATGGTTGCAGCTCTCAGCTGACACTTTTGACTACACACCATGTGAAAAATTCCCAATGAGAATTGCCCACCTGAACCCGGTCAACTCACAGAATTATGAGAGATAATACATTTCTGTTTTAAGCTGCTACGTTGTAGGCATGGAGTTTAAAATTCTCATAGATGGTCAGAAGAGAACTACAGGAAAGGTGACTTTCAACTAAATACTTCAAGAAAGTGATGCAGTTAGCCATATAGATATACAAATGATTGAAATTATTGCAGGCAGAGGACAAAGTAAGTTCAAATGAGCTGAGATAGGAGCATGAGCATTCAAGGTAACATCAGGGAAGCTATTTTGCCTGGAGCATTGTTTAAAAAGGAAAACTTTTTTTTTTTTAAGAGGAAAGGAGATGGGGAAGATAAAACAAGAGTGAAGAGAGCCTAGTCATGCAGGGTTTTGTAGGTGAGAGTGAGGAATTTGTTTTTTCCTCTAAGTAGATAGGAAGCAACTAGAAATTTTTGAGCAATGAAATGACATAATCTGAATAAACTTATAACATATTATAATAGTTTATAATAAACTAAATGTGGTACAGGAAAAGAAGCAGTGATGCTACCTGGGAAGCTGTTACAATAATCTAGGTGAGAGATGATGGTGACTTTTACCAGAGTGGTAGCTATGAGGTGGAGGAGGGAGTAGTTGAATTCTGAATATGTTTTAAACGCAGAGCTGAAATAATTTGTGGTTGGCCTGGATGTGGGGTTATCAGTAGGAGGCATCGAAGATGACCTCAAGGCTTTTCACCTAATACATGGGAAAAATAATTTTTCATAGATATTAGCAAGGCTGTGAAAGACAAAAGGACAAAAAGTAACTTCAGGACATCATACTCATAGCATTTTGTTTCATTTTCATCAAAGACATAGCTTTTATTATATTAGGTTTTTATTTTGTTTCACTTTTAACTTGCATTTAAAGATTATTTTATGTTCTACATGTATATGTTATATACTTAATATTTTAAGCCACTACAATTAGGGTATTTATATGTAGAGATAAATTAAAACTAGAGCTAGAGCTAGTGATAGAGATAGACACGAAGGTAGACAGAAGAGAGGAGAGGGAGAGATATCTTAATTAGCAATTAGTACTCACCCATCATAGTTATGGAGTAATTATTTTTTGAACTGGTGAATTAATGAACAGATTGACTAATAATTTAATTGCTTCTGCATTAAAATATTTTATAAGCATAAATAACTAGTTCCAGAGTTACATAAACTTGTCTGTCACCTGGTACTAAATAAGAACAATATTTACCTGAATTGTTTTTATATTGTGTACTTGGTTAAAATAATAACATATTATCTGATTTATCTGGGAACATTAATAAAGCATAACAGAATAACCAAAAGAATTACTAGAATGCATTAGGTTTGTTCGTTTTGAAAATTACAGTTTTTATTTGAAGAACTGAGACTGTAAGTAAAATCACGATGATCTGTAAGTTGAAATTTACATGTCTTTTTACTAAATTACAAAACCATTTTGAGAAATGAGTAACATTTAGGCTAAAAATGAAAATGTTGTAAAGTTATTTTTATGTTGTTATTATGAATATTATTAATACACAAAAGAAGTAATTTATCTAAATAAGCAAATGACAATCCAAACAAGTGTATTAATCTGCTTGTATTTCATAAATACCCAAGAGGAAAAATACCTTCTCCTTTTCAACCTATGTTCAGTCTGTGCTAAGGGCCAATACTTATCAAGATTTGGTTGTAGTGCCCTTCACTCCTCCTTCATGTCCCCATTCTCATTGTCCCCCTTTCCTCTCCTCTTTGCTGCTGAATTCTTCACTCGACTTTCCAGTTCTTGCTGCCCTTCTTTGCCCTGATTCTTTTTCCTGAAAGTTGGCCTCTGTAGACTGGCCACCCAGGCTCTTTTGTTCTTGATTTCTGGATGAATTTTGCCTGTGGGAGACATGAGCAGGGAGATCAAAATGTGGGAAAGAAAAGAGACTAAGAGACTGTATATTTATGCTCTGCTACTAGCTCCCTTCCTGCTGCAACACTATGGCTGCATTCCAAAGCTCCAGCTCCTGCTGCAGCCCTGCTCCCATGGCTCTAGCTTTCTCTGGGCTCTAGCAATATCATTACTCCATTTTCCCTTTCAAGTTTAGAACTGGAATCAGTTTTCCTCATTTGATATTTATTCCCTTAATCTCTAGGATTATATGTTAGCCCATTTTGTACTGCTGTAACAGAATACCTGAGACTGGGTGATTTATGTAGAACGGAAATTTATTTCTCACAGTTTTGGAGGCTGGAAGTCCAAGATCAAGTTGCCAGCAGGTTTAGTGTCTGATTTCTGCTTACAAGATGGTGCCTTGAACGCTGCATTCTCTAGAGGGGAGGGTGCTGTGTCCTCGCATGGCAGAAGTTGGAAAGGCAAACAGGAGCAAACTTCCCTTGCCAAGCCCTTTTATAAAGAAACTTAATACCATTCGTGAGGGTAGAGCGCTCATGACTCAATCACCCCCTAAAGGTGACACCACCCCCGACACTATTGCACTGGGAATTAAGTTGCAACATTAATTCTGGAGGGGACAAAATCATTCAAACCACAGCAATTCATAGGCCATTCATTAAATTATTTTTATTTATGACCTTTTAAGTTGGCCACTGTTTTTCTGTTGAGACAGTGACAGATACATTATAGACCTCACAAAAGTGTACTTTTTCTAGTTGCCTGGAGCCAGTATTCCTGGCCTGGACATTTCAGTGGTGCTTTCCCTATATATGTTCTTCTAAGTAACATTCTCTGTTGTGTAGATGTTTATTTCTTTTCACTGAAAATAATATCTTCTACATTCTTTTCATGAAAGCTTTTGTTCAGATATCTATTCCGATTTATTAATTCATGTCATTAACTGTGAATAAATTAACATGTTATTCTTCCCTCAAGTACTCAAAAATTTAATTCAAAAGAGTAGAGTGAATTTCAGGTCACTGACATAAAAATATTTATTTTTTTCTAGTATTTATATGCTTCTTTATGACACACAGCTATTCAGTAGTGGCTGCTTTAGCTAAAAATATTTAAGAACACAGACATACCCTGCATTTACAACCTTTGTGAACTCCCATTTTTTTCTGGATAAGTTCCATACGCATCAGCAGGGCATTTAATGTGCTTTAATCTCTGGTCTCTCAAGAGCCCATGAGTTTATGACTTTCTATGACTTTTGTTATCTCATTTTTAGTTCTGTTTTCCTCTTATTCCTTTGGAAATTTCTTAATCTGATAAATTTTTACTTATTCCTCAAAGCTAAGACCAATTGGTCTCTATTCTATGAAGCTTTCCTTGATTATGGTGGGAAGAAAAAAATAATTTCATCTATAATAACTCAAACATATTTAGCACATATAATTATAATAAAACACAGGATGTTCTATAGTAATAATTTTAACAAGATTGTATTTGAATATGTCGTTTGACCTTATCAAGGACAGGTACCGCATATTGATTCTCTCTATAATCTCAACAAATCCTTGAACTATTAAACTTAGAATTCAATAAACATATGCAAAATAAGTTAAGTAAATGCAAAATTAGTTGATAAAAGAAAATAGGGACTTCTACATTGTTACTAACAATTTATTATTCATGTGTTTGGCTTTAATATTAAAGTTGGGCAGGAAAGAAATTTAACAAAGATGATGAAAGGAGTAAGTGGATGAAAGAAAGACAAGATCATGGCAATGTAGAAAGTAGTAATGATTCATTGATTTTTTTAATGGGTTTTTCGTGTCTCTATCTCCTTCAGTTCCGCTCCGATCTTAGTTATTTCTTGTCTTCTGCTAGTTTTTGAATTTGTTTGCTCTTGCTTCTCTAGTTCTTTTAATTATGATGTTAGGGTGTCAATTTTAGGTCTTTCTTGTTTCCTCCTGTGGGCATTTAGTGCTATAAATTTTCCTTTAAACATTGCTTTAGCTGTGTTCCCGAGATTCTTGTACATTGTGTCTTTGTTCTCATTGGTTCCAAAGAACTTATTTATTTCTGCCTTAATTTCATTATTTATCCAGTAGTCATTCAGGAGCAGGTTGTTCAGTTTCCATGTAGCGTGGGGTTTTGAGTGAGTTGCTTAATCTTGAGTCCTAATTTGATTGCACTGTGGTCTGAGAGACTGTTTGTCATGATTTCCGTTCTTTTGCATTTGCTGAGGAGTGTTTTACTTTCAATTATGTGGTCACTTTTAGAGTAAGTGCAATGAGGTGCTGAGAAGAATGTATATTTTGTTGATTTCATGTGGAGAGTTCTGTAGATGTCTATTAGGTCCGCTTGGTCCAGCGCTGAGTTCAAGTCCTGAATATCCTTGTTAATTTTCTGTCTTGTTGATCTATCTAATATTGATAGTGGAGTGTTAAAGACTCTCACTATTATTGTGTGGGAGTCTAAGTCTCTTTGTAAGTCTCTAAAAGCTTGCTTTTTGAATCTGGGTGCTCCTGTATTGGGTGCATATATATTTAGAATAGTTAGCTCTTCTTGCAGCATTGATCCCTTTACCATTATGTAATGCCCTTCTTTGTCTTTTTTGATCTTTGTTGGTTTGAAGTCTGTTTTATCAGAGACTAAGATTGCAACTCTTTCTTTTTTTCTTTTTTTCTTTCTTTTTTTTTTTTTTTTTTGCTTTCCTTTTGCTTGGTAAATATTCTTCCATCCCTTTATTTTGAGCCTATGTGTGTCTTTGCATGTGAGATGGGTCTCCTAAATACAGCACACCAAGGGGTCTTGACTCTTTATCCAATTTGCCGGTCTGTGGCTTTCAATTGGGGCATTTAGCCCATTTACATTTAAGGTTAATATTGTTATGTGTGAATTTGATCCTGTCATTATGATGCTAGCTCATTATTTTGCCCATTAGTTGATGCGGTTTCTTCATAGTGTTCATGGACTTTATAGTTTGTTATGTTTTTGCAGTGGCTGGTACTGGTTTTTTCTTTCCATATTTAGGACTTACTTCAGGAGCTCTTGTAAGGCAGGTCTGGTTGTGACAAAATCTTTCAGCATTTGCTTGTCTGTACAGGATTTTATTTCTCCTTTGCTTATGAAGCTTGGTTTGGCTGGTTATGAAATTCTGGGTTGAAAATTCTTTTCTTTAACAATGTTGAATATTGGCCCCCACTCTCTTCTGGCTTGTAGGGTTTCTGCAGAGAGATCTGCTGTTAGTCTGATGGGCTTCTCTTTGTGGGTAACCCGACCTTTCTCTCTGGCTGCCCTAACATTTTTTCCATTTGGTGAATCTGACGATTATGTGTCTTGGGGTTGCTCTTCTCGAGGAGTATCTTTGTGGTGTTCTCTGTATTTCCTGAATTTGAATGTTGGCCTGCCTTGCTAGGTTGGGGAAGTTCTTCTGGTTTTTGAAAAGATTAACAAAATACACAGACCGCTAGCCAGACTAATAAAGAAGAAAAGAGAGAAAAATCAAATAGACACAATAAAAAAGATAAAGGGGATATCACCACCAATCACACAGATATACAATCTACCACCAGAGAATACTATAAACTCCTCTAGGCAAATAAACTAGAAAATCTAGAAGAAATGGATAAATTCCTGGATACATACACTCTCCCAAGACTAAACCAGGAAGAAGTCAAACCCCTGAATAAACCAATAACAAATACTGAAATTGAGGCAGTAATTGACAGGCTACCAACCAAAAAAAGTCCAGGACCAGAAGGATTCACATCCAAATTCTATCAGAGCTACAAAGAGGAGCTGGCACCATTCCCTCTGAAACTATTCCAAACAATAGAAAAAGTGGGACTCCTCCCTAACTCATTTGATGAAGCCAGTATCATCCTGATACCAAAACCTGGCAGAGACACAACAAAAAAAGAAAATTTTAGGCCAATATCCCTGATGAACATTGATGTGAAAATTCTCAATAAAATACTGGCAAACCAAATCCAGCAGCACATCCAAAAGCTTATCCATCATGACCTGGCATGGAAGGCTGGATCATCATATGCAAATCAATAAATGTAATCCATCACATAAACAGAACGAATGACAAAAACCACATGATTATCTCAATAGATGCAGAAAAGGCCTTCGATAAAATTCAACACCCCTTCATGCTAAAACTCTCAATAAACTATGTATTGATGGAACGTATCTCAAAATAATAAAAGGTATTTATGGCAAACCCACAGCCAATATCATACTGAACAGGCAAAAGCTGGAAGCATTCCCTTTGAAAACCAGCACAAGACAAGGATGCCCTCTCTCACCACTTCTATTCAACATAGTATTGGAAGTTCTGGCCAGGGCAATCAGGCAAGAGAAACAAATATAGTGTATTCAAATAGGAAGAGAGGAAGTCAAATTGTCTCTTTTTGCAGGTTACATGATTTATATTTAGAAAACCCCATCATCTCAGGCCCAAATCTCCTTAAGCTGATAAGCAACTTCAGCAATGTCTCAGGATACAAAATCAATGTGCAAAAACTACCATCATTCCTACACACCAATAATAGAGATCCAACTCATGAGTGAACTCCCATTCACAATTGCTACAAAGAGAACAAAGTACCTAGCAGTCCAACTTACAAGGGATGTGAAGGACCTCTTCAAAGGTAGCTACAAACTGCTGATCAAGGAAATAAGAGAGGACACAAACAAATGGAAAAACATTCCATGCTCATGGATAGAAAGAATCAATATTGTGAAAATGGCCATACTGCCCAAAGTTATTTATAGATTCAATGCTATTTCCATCAAGCTACCATTGACTGTCTCCACAGAATTAGAAAAAAGTACTTTAAATTTCATATGGAACCAAAAAGAAACCATACAGCCAAGACAATCCTAAGCAAAAAGAGCAAAGCTGGAGGCATCATGGTTCCTGATGTCAAACTATACTACAAGGCTACAGTAAACAAAATAGCAGGGTATTGGTACCAAAACAGACATGTAGACCAATGGAACAGAACAGAGGCCTCAGAAATAATACCACACACCTACAACCATCTGATCTTTGACAAACCTGACAAAAACAAGCAATGGCGAAAGGATTCCTTATTTAATAAATGGTGTTGGGAAAACTGGCTAGCCACATGCAGAAAACTGAAACTGGACCCCTTCCTTACCCCTTATACAAAAATTAACTCAAAATGGATTAAAGACTTAAATGTAAGACCTAAAACAATAATAACCCTAGAAGAAAACCTAGGTAATACCATTTAGGACACAGGCATGGGCCAAAACTTCATGATTAAAACACCAAAAGCAATGGCAACAAAAGCCAAAATTGACAAATAGGATCTAAGTAAACTAAAGAGCTTCTGCACAGCAAAAGAAAGTGTCATCAGAGTGAATAGACAACCTACAGAATGGCAGAAAATTTTTGCAATCTATTCATCTGACAAAGGTCTAATAGCTAGAATCTACGAGGAACTTAAGCAAATTTTTACAAGAAAAAATCAAACAACCCCATCAAAAAGTGAGCGAAGGATACAAACAGACATTTCTCAAAAGAAGACATTTATGCAGCCAAAAAACATATGAAAAAAAGCTCATCATCACTGTTCATCAGAGAAATGAAAATCAAAACCACAATGAGATACCATCTCACACCAGTTAGAATGGTGATCATTAAAAAGTCAGGAAACAACAGATGCTGGAGAGGATATGGAGAAATAGGAACGGTTTTACACTGTTGGTGGAAGTGTAAATTAGTTCAACCATTGTGGAAGACAGTGTGGCGATTCCTCAAGGATCTAGAACTAGAAATACCATTTGACCCAGCAATCCCATTACTGGGTATATACCCAAAGGATTATAAATCATCCTACTATAAAGATACATGCACATGTATGTTTATTGCAGCACTGTTCACAATAGCAAAGACTTGGAACCAACTCAAATGCCCATCAATGATAGACTGGATAAAGAAAATGTGGCAAACATACACCATGCAATACAATGCAGCCATAAAAAAGGGTGTTTATGTCCTTTGCAGTGATATAGATGAAGCTGGAAACCATCATTCTCAGCAAACTAACACAGGAACAGACAACCAAACACCACATGTTCTCACTCATAAGTGGGAGTTGAACAATGAGAACATATGGACGCAGGGAGGGGAACATCACACACCATTTAGGAGTCCAACTTACAAGGGGTGGGTGGCTAGGGGAAGGATAGCATTAGGTGAAATACCTAATGCAGATGACAGGTTGATGGGTGCAATCACCATGGCGCGTGTATACCTATGTAACTAACCTGTACATTCTGGACACGTATCCCAGAACTTACAGTGTAATTTAAAAAAAAAGAAAAAAAAAGAAAGTAGTAATGAAAGAGGTGGAAGTTATGTTCAAAAAAGAAATTGTTGAGTGCAAAATCTCACAGTTTGGTATGGTTTTTAAGTTCTTAGGTATCAGTGGATCATTAGGAGCCAAAATTAAACTGAAATGGATTGAAATAATACAACCTTTTTTCTATGGTAGTAGAAAAGGTATTTTGGGGACAAGGCCAACTCAAGTGTCCGTGGACACTTAGAGCAGCTTGGAAATTAATAGAACAGTAGGAGTGGATATCAATGGAAGTACATTAGGATTTAGACCATGAATTGATGTAGGAAAGGGAGAATAGGTATGAGTAACTGAAAATTATGAGGCTGACTTCACAGATCACAAGAGAGAACTTGGCAGTATGCCTCTTCATAAGTAACTCCCATTTCATTTTGTACTTTATTCAGACTGTATTTGTATGGTCTTTAGTATTTTTCTTTTTTCTTACTTTATAAATTTATCCTACCTTATTATATACATTGTATATCAAAATAGCTTTTGCTTTAAAATTAATCTAGTTTTTTTTTGTAAACCTTTGGTGGATAAAGTAACTGATACTCTGACTCAGCTTGGTCTGTATTTTTAAATTTTAACTTAGGGGCTTTGAGGACTATGTTTATAAATATTAGTAAAATGTGTATTAAAATTGCTCTATAGAGTGGCTTGAAATATATCACACAGTTTTTATCATAATGAAAATGATGCATTCTACTATACACCTCAAAGCGTTGTGAAGATTAAATGAGTGAATATATGTAAAGCACTTGTAACAATACCTGACATCTTATAATCCTTCCAGAATGTTAGTGGATATTTTTCTTAATATTCACGCTATTTTCATGAGGCATCAAAAACTCTTGGGAGAAGAGTTATTCTAAGGGAAGGAATTGTTGTTCTCAGTACATTCTGTTGTTGTTAGACAAATTTTCTCAGCTTAGCAATCACATGGGCTCATGTTTGAAATACAAAAGAAGAGGCTGTAGGTAAATATCTGCAAAACATCAGAACATTAAAGTTTAGCACCTATTCTAGAAGAATGCAACATAAAAGATCAACATTTTTCTCACTTACAGCTCAGGACATAGCATAAGGCTGTCACTAAGAACTCCAGATAACAAAGCACCGCGTAGGTGATTCTAGGAGTTTCCCAGTATCAGCAAAGAAAGTGATAGCACTTGGTATTAGGAACTGGGGTTGGCAGTGAAATTCATAGGGACAGAAGAGGGCAATGTTGGCAGATGAGGGAGTATGTCTAACATCTCACAGTGGGCAGCAGCGGCCACCATTTTCAAATAGGTTTCACAAAGAGCCTTGGGAGAAAAACCACACTGAAAGCAGACAAAATGAAAAAAGAAAAAGCTGGAAGATACATACTACATACACCCCCCTACACACAAACACACACATACCTTGTCACTCCTATAGGTTTTACATAAGAGAAGCTTTCAGGGAGACGTGGCTTATTATTGCTAGCTTCACTATTTCTACGCTGAGGCTGCTGTAGTTGAGATAGGATAGGTATGCCTTAAACTCTGCACCCATGTCTTTCTCATCAAATGACGATACAAATCACCCATAAGTCCACTATTTTTTTAATTGTTATTTTGTTGTTTTATCTTATCTTATTTTATTTATTTATTTATTTTGAGTTAGGTTCTTTCTCTGTCATCCAAGCTGGAGCGAAGTGGCACTATCTCAGCCCATTGCAACCTCTGCCTCTGGTTCTCCAGTCATCCTCTCATCTTAGCCTCCCCAGTAGCTGGGACAACAGGTGTGTATCACCATGCCCAGTTTATTATTATTTTTTTAATTTTTGTAGGGATGGGATTTCACCATGTTGTCCAGGCTGGTCTCAAGCTCCTGACCTTCCACTATTTATTTTTAATTAAATAAAATTTAAATGAAACATAAATACATTTGCTTTTATTAGCAACTACCTTTAAATATTTGGTGGGTACAATTATCACCTTTATTATAAATCCAAACAGGCATTTCTTTCTCTCTGTTAATATACATATTTTTTATATTTATATGCAGCAACATAAAAACATAAATTTTTTAAAAGGAATCATTTTAAAATAAATATTATTTTATTATTTAAATATTATTTAAAAGAAATAATGTCATACAATTTAAGCTGCTGTCTCTAATGTTTACTGAAAAATTATGTCACAGAAAACTTATCTGTATATTCATTTAATAATTCTATAACATCCTACTGTAAGGATGTGCCAACAGATATTCAACTACTTTTTACATTATTCTATTACAAATGATGTAATAAATATCTTTGTATGTATATTTTCATGTACATGTGCTATTATACTCTTTGAAGCTGAACAGTATATTTTATGTTTTGATAGTATTTAACAAATAACTATTTACATGTACCAATTTATATTTTACTCTAAAGTTTATGGGTAGAGGGTTTTCTAATTTTCCACTTCATTTTCTCCTATTTTGCTAAGCAAAATGGCTTCAAAGGTTTATAGGGAGTTGCATGTTGAGAAAGAATTGGACTCTGTTAACATATGACAGAGAGAGCTGGGGTCAGAATATGCCCTTATGACCTGGGAGAAAGTCTGGAGCATGGTTTGTGATCTCCAAGCCAAAAAATTGGAAGGAGCACATCTTGGGAAGAGCTGAGCTCTCAGGAACTCATGAACCATCTAGAGCAAACATCATGCAGGTGTGTTGGTACCAGATGTCTGATCCTGAAAAAGCCAAAAATAAATCAAATGTTCCTCTCTCTTCCCAGGTCTGTGGTATTACAAAAACAGTAGGGGAAAGAAAGACTGGCAGCCTGGTGGTCTTTTTAAAGGCTTTTAAGATCCTATGAGAGTACAGCCACCAACCCCCTGCAGCTGATTGCAGCTGTCATCTCAGACTTGTCAGTTGCATGAGTCAACACATTTACATTCATAGTTCAATTCAGTTGAATTTTGTTTTCTGTCACCAATGTCCAAATAATTTCTCACAACGCAAGGCTCCTTTCTTGGCAACCTCTAGGGTAGTCTAGGAGATACAGAGGAACTTGATGCTTAGCCTATCCAGCAAACACATCAGCTGACCCCTTCAGAATTCCAGCTGCCTCCAGGGGCATTGCCACAATAGTTCCTGACTGTGGAAGAAATCATATCCACTTTCCCTTACTCAAGATCCAGCACTGATAACCTTAAACCTCTCTATCAATCCAGAAATATCCCACACCAGACTTCATTTCTTCCCTTTCCAGAACATCCAGCTAAATTCCTTCTTAAACTGGATCAAGCAGTTTAAGTGCCTAATAACTTTTTTTAAGGGGTGGGAGGGGCACAAGAAACACAAAGCCATTTACAATCCCTGAGGCCAAAAGCCCAAAACTTAGAAGAAAGGAGGGCAAAATTAGCTTTCATTCCACTGGAGTATCCTCTGTCAATGGAGATAGCAACCAACAGCTTGGTCAAATATCCTGTGACAAATGTAAATGACCTTTAAGCAAGCTAAGGAGGAAATTGGCACTTACTGTCATTTTGAGCCCTAATTCCTTCCCTCACTGAGTAACTTCCACATGCCCTAAACATGAGTAAGAATCAGCCCACCTCCAGACTACTCCAAAAGAAGAAACCCCATGCCCATAAACTGTCCCTTGGCCTCTAGTAAAAAGCAAATATTTTCCTTATGATCACAGAAAAACAACAGGCAAATTTTAGCTCAGGCCCCCATGGATAATGGAGGTTTTAGAAAATCATCCTAAAAAACTATAGTGTTTTTCCCTATCGTGGGCCTCCGTGATAGGTACAATAATGGCTCTCCCCCTAAAATGTCCCTCATCCTAATCTTCAGAACCTCTGCCTATGTTACTGTGTTAGTCAGGATTCTCCAGAGAGACAGAACCAGCAGGATATATGTATACATGAGAGGGAGTTTATTAAGGAGAATTCACTCACAGGATCACAAGGTGAAGTCCCAAGTTAGGTCGTCTGTAAGCTGAGGAGCAAGGAAGCCAGTAGTGGCTCAGTCCAAGTCCCAAAACCCCAAAAGTAGGGAAGCTGACAATGCAGCCTTCAGTCTGTGGCCAAAGACACAAAAGCCCCTGGCAAACCACTGGTGTAAGTCCAAGAATCCAAAGGCTGAACAACCTGGAGTCTGATGTTCAAGGGCAGGAAGCATTCAGCACAGGAGAAAGATGAAAACCAGAAGACTCAGCAAAAGCCAGCTTAAGCCACCTGCTTTTTCAAGCTGCACTGGCAGCCGACCAGATGGTGCCCACCCACATTGGGGGTGGGTCTGCCTCTCCCAGTCCACTGACTCAAATATTAATCTCCTTTGGCAACACCCTCACAGACATACCCAGGAACAATACTCTGCATCCTTCAATCCAATCAGGTTGACACTTAATATTAACCATCACAGTTACCTTTCATGGCAAAAGGGGACTTTGTAGATGTGATTAAGAATCTTCAGATAGACAGATTATCCTGTATTACATAAGTGGACCTAATGTATTCATAAGGGCTTTATAAAATTGAGACAGCAGGATTAAGACCAGAGAAGAAATGTTAAAAGAAAAGTAGAGGTCAGAGTGATTCAGTGTCAGAAGAATTCAAACCTCTGTTGTCTTTAGAGATGGAGGAAAGAGACTGTGAGTCATTGGATGCATGAAACCCCCTGAAATTGAAAAGGACAAGGAATTGGATTCTCTTCTTGAATTTCTAGAAGGAACACAATCCTGCCAACCCATTTTGAACTACAGACCATAATAACTTTAAGATAATAAATTGGTGTCATTTTAAGCTACTACAGCTTTGGTAATTTGTTACAGCAGCAGAAGCAGCAACACTCAACAGATAGAGCCCCTGGCTTAAAGCAGGGGCTTATGGCAGATTCTGGAAAAGTTTCTAGGTTAAAACTGCCTCAGAGGCTGCCTCCAGGAATATAATTTCCTTACACACTAGAGAATAATTCACGGTCCAAGAAGTTAAGCTCTGGGATACTTTTGCTTTCTACATTCATTCATGCCTTTTGGTTGTCCTGACGTTAGGTGTGGGGCATAGGGGTGGATTTTGTTTATTTCCAGGGAGTCTTGTTCTCTCATGTTCAATGTTAAAGGGACTACAGAAGCACAACTCTGTACATGGTTAATGATGTCTTTGGGTTTGTACACATTATGAGCTCTGAGATCACAAGGATTTAAACACTTTCCAGCCAAATATGTCCTCATTTCTGCCACCACTATTCAGCTAATGAGCTTTTCTGCATTTATGAGTCTTTCTGTTGTTTTGATGTGCAAGATTTGGAATTGGGTAAGGAAATCATAGTGCCAAAGCACGCATATCATGCGGAATCATTCCTGGATACTCCCCCATCCTCATTTGGGATAGTTCTCAAATGAGCCCCCTTGAGTGTGTAAATCCGTCCCATGGTTTCATCTCCTATATTTCTCTGGAGATATGTGATGACCTGGGATCTGGGAATGAATTGCCTTGTGATTCAAGTATAGTCACTCAACACTTGAAATCCAGCACCTCTCTCGATGTGAAATTTTTGAGCCTCAGACACACAGGAAACATTGCCACTCGGGCACTTCGGAATCACATCCCCTAAGTTCTCAAGTCCTGTTTTTTTTTTTGTTTGTTTGTTTTTTTTTACATATTACTTAACTAATTGACTCTGAACTTCAATTTGGGAGAGTCAAATAAAATGTTAGATTTGTAATGTAATTAAGTATGTTATTAAGAGTGAAATCAAATTTTTTCAGGCTGCAGGCTTGCTCTATTAGCCTGCTTTACTCGGAAAGAGCTGAAGATTGCTTTTCTAGGCCCATGAGCTGGCAAATGTGACCGGGTGAAGAGTATGGGGTGGAGGCAGGATAATTTCTCTGTATCTTCAGGCAAATTATGCACAAAGAGCAAGATTTGACATTTTGTCATCAAACATGGCTAGGAGTCAGGGTGGGACGGTGCAGGGTATTGTGCACAGCCATGAAGCTACTCTGTTCTGTGTTCTGATCCTAACTGCTTATGAGCCCCTGTAACTTAGGGTAGCTCAGTTAACTTGCTGGTGCTTCACGTCCTTCATCTAACTCAACTGGGGTAAATAGAACATCTACCTCATAACATTATTAAGAAGATTCAATGAGTTAATGTATGTAAAATTCTTAGTGTATGGTAATATATCAGTGTTTTCATTTATTAACATGATAGTGGAGTGGGAGGGTGGCTATGAATGGAGGAAAGAATACCAACATTGTGCCTGAGCATTTTAATTAAACCACATTAACAGTCGGAGGTCCTGCTTTTGAATAAAGAGTCTCAGCTAGGGCATCTACTTTTATTCATTAATTATATTCATATTTATTGAATTCTTATGTTTCAGACCCTGTTCTAGGGCTCCTTGTACCTTACATGGTAGTGGGCTAAATTCAAATTGGAATGAGAAAAGATTAATACTTTTATACAATTATATAACCAGTTTCTTTTGCAATTGGAGTTACCTAGCAAACACCTCTGAACGACTTTTTTTCTAACAACTCAAGGTCAATCCATATTTCAACAGTGCACTTATGCACATTTGAAAAACCTAATTCCTCAATAATCCTGGCATAGGATAAATTTCAATGGGTAATATTATTAAAAAAATAAAAGAGTTTGAAAATATTTTAAAAATGGGGCCCTAATACAAAATCTAGATACCAGCTATGGGTATAGATCTCTTTAGTTCTGAAGAGAAACTGATAGGAAATTTTCAAATCATGGCACTAAAGTTCTTATTCTCCAGAATTAAACTTGAGAATAAATTATTGGGTTGTAGGTCTTAACAATCCTTTTTTTTTAAAGATGATTCTCTGTAAAAGTTATTTTTATAGCTCAGAGTTTTAAATTAAAGGCTGTAAGTATGCCAATTTTATGATAATAAAGATATTAGGCAAGTAAATGCCCAAAGGCAAATGATGAAATTTCATCTTTTGTAAGGGGTGCAAGGCCTGACTATTACACAGTTCACAGGGCAAGTTTAGCCTCTTGATATGCTTCACTTAACATTCGTGTTTAACAGAGAAAATTTGCCTCTGTGCAAATATGAAGCACATTTTTATTCTTACATTGCAGAATACATTGCAGAGAGAACTTCAGCCTTGCCTAAATCCCTAAATTCAATAGAATATTATTTAAGTCTAAAATAAGTCTCTCCTTAGAATAAGTTGTCTTCCACCTACAGAAACTTACACCCTTGTTATAATTACTTCAGTACTAACAACTCCTCCTCTTAACACTCAAAGTGTGTGGGTTTTGAAAAGGCAGCACACAAACCTGATACTTTTAAAAGGAATCTATTAATAGCAACATAATATTTTTCTTCTTCCAGATGCCCATGTATCATCACTTACTTTTATTTTTCCTTCTATTACTGTTTCCTCTAAATATTCAGCATGTATATATTGCTTATTCTAAACTGAATCTATAAGTAAGAAATTTATTCTTTAGCTTTACCATTCGTGCAAATTCCTAAGACCAAATTGTAAAAGGTGCAAGACCTAGATGACTTCATATAGATGTTAAACTTTATTGTAAACTGGCTTCTTATTACATCAACAAAAATCTTCTCAAATTTTATGAGTTTTAGATTTTTTTGTGAATAAAAGGATGTTAATAGTAACTACTATTTAATGAGTGCTTATTACTTAATGCCAAATACACTTCTAAGTGCTTAACATTTGTATGTCATTTGGTTATTACACCCTGATGAGATAGTTGTGGTATTTGATCTACTTTAAAGCTTTAAAAGTGTGGTATGTGTTTAAATTACCTGATAACAAAAGTTTAAATGAATCTTGATGTATTCATAATTTTTTTAAAAGCTTGAGAATCCCAGTAATGTCTACTGCTCAATTTAGGCAAAAAGACAGATCCTGGCAAGACATAAAAATCTCCTGTAGAGAAAAATTAAGAAGAAATATCAAAATATTTTTACAAGAAAATTTAACTGCTGAATTCCATTCATTGGCTTCTATCAGTTTGGCACGTTTAAAAGGAAATATACTTGTATCTTGGATTGACAATAGAGAAATAATTGAACTGTTGAAAAATTTTACCAACATTTCATTTTGCCTTTGCATGATCATTGAGATTATGCAAAATTTTCAGTGACAATTTAGAAAAATACATATTGGTAGCAAACTCATAAAAATGGTTGTAAATACTAATTTTCATAATATGCTGTCTCATGGCACTGAACATTAGTCCAAATGCACAAGGAAGAAAAGATAACTGGATTAAGGTTTAAAGAAAACATGTGGTAAGCAAGTGACAAATACAGTGATGAGAACACTCAGCTAATACAGCACTTCTGTGGTTCAGTAAACTTTTATTCTCACTGCTTTGTGAAGAAAGTGAACTTAAGATATATAGATTCAGGTCAACCATGAACATATAAATTTTGCCCTGCACAGGGTTAAGCCAAAATTTCCTCTAAACAAGTTCTTTGAGTATGATTGCATTATTCCTGAGGAAAGCCATGCTTTTTTAGTAATTCACCTTCCCATGGCGGTGGGGGCGGTGGGGTGGTGGTGACCTTATTCGCATTTTTTGTTTGTTTGTTTTGTTTGTTTGCTTGCTTGCTTGCTTTTGAGACAGGGTCTCGCTCTGTGGCCAGGCTGAGGTGCAGTGGTGGAATCTCGGCTCACTACAACCTCCACCTCCCAAGCTTAAGCAATCCTCCCACCCCAGGCTCCTGAGTAGCTGGGACCACAGGCCCGGGCCACAACGCCCTGGTAAATTTTCTGTTTTTAGTAGAGACAGGCTTTTGCTATTTTTGCCAGGCTGGTCTCAAACTCCTGGACTCAAGAGATCCACCTACCTTGGCTTTCCAAAGTGCTGGGATTTCAGGCAGGAGCCACTGCACCTGGCCCTGGGATGTCCTTCTCTTTTTTTTTTTTTTTTTTTCTTTCTTCACTTCTTTCTTCCTTTCTTCCTTTCTTCCTTCCTTCCTTCCCTCCTTCCTTCCTTCTTTCCTTCCTTCCTTCCCTTTCTTCCTTTCTCTCCCTCTTTCTTTCTTTCCCTCTCTCTTTCTCTCTCTCTCTCTCCCTCTTTTTTTTTCTTTCTTTTTTATTTTTTTGACAGAGTGTCTCTGTCACCTAGGCTGCAATGCAGTGGAGCAGTCTTGGCCCACTGCAACCTCCACTTCCCAGGTTCAAGTGATTCTCCTGCCTCAGCCTCTGGAGTAGTAGAGATTACAGGCATGCACCACCACGCCCAGCTAATTTCTATATTTTTAGAAGAGACGGGATTTCACCATGTTGGCAAGGCTGGTCTTGAGCTCCTGATATTAAGTGATCCGCCCGCCTCGGCTTCCCAAAGTGGAAACACCTATTTCTAATTCCGCAAAGGAGCCTTTACCTAGTAGTAGCAGCCTTAAATATGTGGGCTGGCAAAATATTTTGCAAATATTTTTTAAATATTAAAGTTATTGTTGCACAAGTATTTTGCAGGTCATACTAGAGTTCCTAGGGAAAAAGTAAAGGATGGTAGACCCAAAGACCAAAGGTTCATAATTGAGTCCAAGCTTTGGCCTCAATTCTGGTTCTGGCAAAGCACCTAATTTCCATTTAAGGAGTTATTTGTCCAAAATTATTAATATATTATTTTATTCTTTAAATTTTTAGATTCAGGGATTGATTTTCAGTGTTGGCATTCAAATTATCTCAGGAAGTATATGATCTAAGTGTTTCCCACAGTCTTTGATATTCCTGACATGTTTTTACACTGACATAGTAGTTAAGTTCCATTCCTGGGTCATAGCATGCACAGAACTTACTGATCTTTGTATTTATGAAAGGAAACTGCACACTAGAGACATACTACAGAAGTGACTAACCGGTGACACTATAACTATCTAAAATTATGGTAAAGATATGGGATATATTTTCAATAAAATGCATTAGATAATTCAGAAGTCAAGAGATAGAATGCTGTTTCTAGTTTGGAGTAGGCATCTTGGAGCAGTCAGTGGCATCACTGGGCGTGAGATATTTCAGCATTTGATGTTCACGTATTATAATCCTTTCTGGGCATATAATTATGAATAAATAAAAAGTGAATAAGAAAATGCTAACGCTAAGTTCTGTGAAATGAAACCTCAGGTTTAAAAAGCAAAATGTGTCATTATAAGAATCTAAGTAAATTTTAATGTAAACTTAATGCTAAAGTGAGACATTATTTCGTAACAACAAGATACATTTAAGGCTAACCTTTGAACTATCCTACCGTGCTACATTGCTTTGGTGGTTTCAGTTCACTGTTTACATAATACCGATAGAATAACATTTGAATGCTATTAAAATGGGATTTGCTTGATGTCTTTTTGTCTGTAGATATTTAAGGGACAACCAGGCACAGAACATTTTGGGTAGACCACATAATCTATTTAATATAGGGCCACTTTGCCTTTATAGTCCAGTATTTTATCATGAAACTATTCCCGGGGTGAAACATAACCCATTTCTAGAGTAATAGAGTGTAGAGGAAAGGAGATAAGATTAAAAAGGCAAGTTCTATTGAGTGAAATGAAAGGATGTCAAGTACACATGAATGTATCCACTAGTATTTGTTAAAATTTTAAAAGTAAACATTTGTCAGTTGTGACAAAGATTAAATAGCATTTCTTTTCCTGTCAGCATTCAGTGACATGAGTGCAGTTTCTGTTTATGTTATAAAAGTGCATGCATATATCAGCATCATAATTCACAAAAACATAGAAAAACATATTTATTTCATTAAAACTTATTAATTCCTTAGGTACAATTGTCCTTTGTGAAAGGAAGATAAGTATGAATTTATTTTTCTTCACAACTTTTTTTTCCATTATGTTTTTGGTCATCGAATTCAGTTCCATTGGGGTAATCAGTTGGTAGGGGGCAAATCTCCTTGTTTAAGATGAAGTAGACTGTCACTTGAAGTGGGAAAATAAACAACTACCAAGATAGAAAATGTTTATGTATTTGAAGTATTTTCCTGAAATTTGAAAAATGTATAAAGCCAAAGTATATGTACTAAGATAATGGCACATGCTATCAATGCCTTTATATTTAAATAATTTTGTCTTTTTCCCTAGTCAAATCAACTCAACCTTATTTACTCATCAATGATTTAATACTTACATAATGACATTATAAATGAAGTTGCCAGGTAAATAAACTAAATCACTCCTTCTAGTCCTTTGCAATAGGACAAAAACATTGAAAAGCAAGCCTACATTCAAATACACAAATTATAAAGGGTACTAAATCATCACAATAAAGATCCCCTCTTCCAATGTGAGTTGCACCATAGTACATGTTTGTTTCAACAGGAAGCTTGTACTGTTTTTTGAAAGAGACAATTTCTGAGATAGAGGAAGTATGATGAAAACTATGGGAACAGTGACAAAAAGTGAGGGATGTCACAGAGCATAATTCTATATACGTGTGGCCAGGAGCTCTTCACTGTTTCTTTTCCACTGGCAGAATGGTCTACTCTGAGGGTTTCCTGCTACCTTAAAATGAGGACATAATCATAAATATATCAAAAGACAATTTGACAAAGTATATTTTGGAGAAAATGTTTATGATTCTTCTACTCAGGTTTCCAACCTCTCTTGAGAGGACACTTCCAGATAGGATGAGGCATAATATACTGCTGAGGCCCCAACAGTCATTGACTTGACACTAATGTGGTCTGTCCTCCTGCTTACCATGGAAGTTGCCTTCTGTTTTCTAATAATGGCTATAGATTCTCCCCAGTGGTACTTCCATATCCTAGGCATAGAGCTTCTACAATCCCCATTCACCTGAGGAAAGCCCTGAAGTTATGCCCTTTCTGTGCCTAGGTGAATAAATTTTAATCAGTGAGAAGGTAACAATAGAAAAATGCATTTCGGCCTTAAGTCAATGCCACGTGTCAGCATCCAATTATACCAATGATAAGACAGATAATGCTAAAATTTTCTACTGGTACCCTCTGTCTATTCAATTGGTTCAGGATCTGGAAAAGAAGATGGATGGGTGATTATGTACCCTTCTCAAACCCCTCCAAAAGTTTAACAAGCCAGCAAATTTCATTTGCTAGGAAAATCTACATGATACCTGTAGATGTGTCACAATATTTTCATACTAGAAAAGGAAAAGATGCCACTCTTTTCCCACCTTTAGAAACAATTCTAATGGCAAATGCTAAATCTCCTGCATTTAGACACAAATGTCAATAAGAAATATTAAGAATAAATTATAAATTTATATCACATTTAAAACATTCCATTAAAAGTGAGCAAAAAACCATGAATAGGTATTTTTCAGAAGAAGGCATAAAAATCACCAAGAAACATCTGAAACAATGTTCAACATCATTAATCATCAGAGAAATTGCAAATTAAATCAAAAGGCAATATCATCTTACACCAGTGAGATAGCTATTATTTAAAAGAGAAAAATAACAGACATTGGTGAGAATAAGGAAAAAAGGGAATGCTTATAAACTGTTGGTGGGAATGTAAATTAGTATAGCCTCTATGGAAACCTGTATGGAGATTTCTTGAGTAACTAAAAATATAACTATCCTTCAGTGCATCATTCCCGTTACTGGGTATCTACCCAAAGGAAAATATTATACCAAAAAGATACCTCCACTTGTATGCTTATCAAGCCACTTCTATGCTTATAATAGCTAAGATGTGGAATCAACCTAAAAGTCCATCAATGGATGATTGGGTAAGGAAAATGTATATATACAAAGTGGAATGCTATTCAGTCATAAAAAATAATTCATGTCCTTTGCAACAACATGGATGGAATTAGAAGCCATTATCTTAACTGAAACAACTCTGAAACAAATACCACATATTCTTACTTATTAGCAGGGGCTAAATAATATCTACACGTAGACATAAAGTGTGGACTGATAGATATTTGAGACTAGAAGAGTGGGGTAGTGGGAGGGGAGTGGATGATAAGACATTACTTAATGGGTACAATATACATTATTTGGGTGATGGATACACTAAAAGCCAGGACTTCACTACTAGGCAAAATATCTGTGTAGCAAAATTGCCCTTGTACCCCTTAAATATATATATATATATATATATATATATGTGTGTGTGTGTGTGTGTGTGTGTGTGTTTGTGTGTGTGTATATATGTACATATATATTTATGTACACATATATTTATATGTGTTTGTGAGCGTGTGTGTGTGTGTGTGTGTGTGTGTATATATATATATATATATATATATATACATATATATACACATAAAAAACCCTCTAACTTTGAAGAAAATGTATTTTATTCCTGGACCAATATTATAGAAACTTTGTATCCAAAAAATGATACAACATCAAACTGGGTGAGTCTACCAAAGGTTGAGTGCTATAGGCATGAAGGAATGTTGGAGCATCCTTGGAGTGGGGTTCTTTGGAAACTCTTGTTTTGTGATGTAGTGGCATTCAAGTCCAGCTGTGTACTAAAGCAAGAGACACAATAACCAAGCCATTAGGAGTTGAGTTAGGGATGTAATAATGGTGCCTGAATGAATCTGTCTGAAATTTTTAAAATAGTTATTACAAAATAGTAAAATATTTATTGGTGTTAATGTTAGGGAAGGGCATACTTTTCCTGCATGAAATTTCAGATACATGTTGTGGTGCCTTCTCTGTTGTGGCAAATATCAGATTTAGAAATGATCACAAAGGATATATCTGAAGTTGGTTTGTGCAGGAATTAGAAAAAAAATAACAAAAGGAAAACACAGTTTGGCAAGTTTTGCTTATTACTACCCAAAGTTAAGAGCCATATTGGGAGCAATAAATTTGTTACCTGAGAGGATAATTATACCAGCAATCAAATGGAATGATTTCTCATGGTATGAAAATAGGCTCTCAATGAATATTTAATATATTAATAAATATTAAATTATGCAAATCCAAGAAAATCACACTTACACTACTTGAGAATCCAGTACTGTGGCTTGAGTAAGTTTCAAAATGCAAAGACTAGCAAATACATGCAAACATATACATGCTCAAATGCAATAAAGAAAGGAACACATAACCCAAAGAAACAGAGGAAGAAGATATTGTCAAAACGGTTTATTCCTAGGAGATAGGAGAATATTTTTGAAAGATTATTGACATCAAAATTTAACAAAATGCAGATTCAATAAAATGACATATAAGATGAGATAATAAGAAACCAGATTTAGATGAATTTAGAAATCCCTGATAGGCATCCAAAATATTTTTTGAGAAGAGGTGAATGAGATAAGAGACAGGCTTACTAGGAATTAGAGTGCAAAGAAACAATAAAAACTGCATTAGAACCAGTGTATCTCCTCTGAATAGGAATCTAAACTATCTTTTTTTAAAAGTCCCTATCTTTCTCTTCATCCTCAGTGATGAAAAAGGAATTGCTGTGGGAAATTTGAGATCATTAATGGGGCTCTCTTTTTAGTGGATGAGTCACTGTAGTTTGGCTCTTCTCTTCCACCTTTTTCTTTGTTGTCTTTGGACTAGCAATAGACAGATGGCTCTGCACAGAGATGGAGGCCTGGCTATCTCTTTTTCCCTTCTTCATTCTCTTCTACCACATGAGAAGATAACCCATTGCTCCATTTAAGTGCTCTACTGTAGTTGTAAAATTTTTAAAAAGGTCTGCATTCTTTCTGATTGTGATAGATACATTAGACTATCATTTTCTCTCAAATCCTAAAAAGATCTTAAAATCGTTTTGTGCATTTAGGGATAGGGAAAGTGAAACAGACAGTGCAACTTTCAGAGTCTGTTTTTGTCTTATATTTCTTTAGTATGCTATATTTTTCTATCTAACTATATGTAGAATATATATGATAGCTATGTTTGTATGTGTGCATATATAACATAGCTGTAGTCTTACCTGCCTTAGTTACCTAGCCCAGGAAATACTCCAATTTTATTTCTATCAAGGCAAGAGTATAAAAAAGGATGGCTAAGGAAGAGCTATGTTGTTTATGAGAACACTGGGAATCTCTCCAAATGTGCAGAGGAATTGAACAAAGACAAAAATATGGAGAGAGATAACAGCTATATCATAGAGGATAGCGTCTGGAGAAACAACCTATAAACTGGAAAATTAAGAAAGAACAAACAATTAAAAATCAATAGTACAGTGAAAAACTGTTCTAGAGTTGAAGTCAAATTTATAAGTAAAACATGTCCATAGTGTATATGGAAAAAGAATAAAGGAATTCAAACCTAGACATCCAAACATTTAGAATTTTCATAGTATCTTTTAAACTATACAAATATCTTGGCAGGGGAAAAGTACTAATAACAAATGATATAAAGGAAAATTAGGATGTGTTAGACTTTTCCTCCACAACATTAAATTCCAGAGGACAATAGATGAACATCTTACATAGAGGTCACAGGTGGGCTCACCACTGTATCCCAGACATAGAAAGGTTTGCTTTGGATGGCACAAATTTTTATACTGTGTATTTCATTTAAAATGTGTGTCGTTCTGGTCCCTCCTGAATAATAGTAACATTTGGCAATAATTGGGTCCACATTTCATCAAGACTGCAATAAGCTGGAGCTGAGTCTTTCTGCATCACATTTCTGTCTCACCTAACTTTCTTTTCCCAGCACTGAGGCAAACTATCAGTTAAGAATTGTCCTTGGGTTTGTATAGTAAATAAACATGTAGTTCTACGCACTCATGGTTCATGAGTGCAAAAGTGAAAGATAAATGGAAAGACTAAGAAAAAATGAGGCAGAAAGTATTGCCATATTTCTATTCTTATGTCATATTTTAAAAATGCATTTATTCATTTCATTCGTGACATGAGAATGCCTCTAAACATGTTTCATTAACTTACCTTTTTTTTGCCCTTTGTAGCCATTTAAGTTCTTAAACCCATGTAAAGATTTGAAGTGAAAGTTTAGTGCCTAGCTGCTCTACCTATTGGACAGTTGTTTAGTTCAATGGAGAGACTTTCTCAGATATGCCGCAGTTCACTCCTCAAAGCTCTAGTACCATTTTTTTGGGAAACAAACTAGTGAGGAAAGTTTTAGACCCACTAAAAAATGAATATCGATTAAATTTCATTTCATAATATTTTGTTTTCTCCTGAAAACATTCAGAAATCTAGAAAGGACATTTTGCAGAGAAATAGAAAGTAAACAATTTTTTGATACTTGTATGAAAATTTTCACCACTGTATCCCAGACACAGATATGTTGCTTTATCTCTCATGCAAAGATGAAAATTGTATGAAAGCTGAAAGTTGTATGAAAGATTTGTACAAATACAAAAAGAATCAAGATGATAGTTTATAAACAGGATATTAGTGTGGGAAAAAACTGTGGCATTCAAATTGATCAAATATGATAAAAACATCAATTGTTGTTAAAATCCTCCAGTGAAACCATCTGAGCCTCAGTGTTACTTCCTTTTGTCCTTTCTAATTATAAATTAAATCTCTTTAATAACTATAAGACTATTCTGATTATCTATTTCATCTTGATTGAGTTTCATTATTTAGCATTGATGAGGAACTTGTTCATTTTTATGAGTAGTAAAAGTTATTCACAGTATTGAGTTACAAAATGGGTGAACAGTCATCACACTTGAGGTTCTCATTGAGAAAGCCTCATAAAGATGGTCTGTGTAATATAATAAAAATGATTTGATAATGTTCACAAAATGAAATACAACAGTGACTTATACATGACATTTCTTATGACTCAGTATATAAGGCGAATACTATTACATTAAAATACAAGTGAATTAGGACGATTTCATCAATAGTCCAATCATTCTGACCTGACTTCAGAGTTCTCTGATGCCATGGCTTGATCCAACTACAAAATTTACATAGAAGACAGCATGTGTCATAGCTTAAAAACTCTAAATAATACTTCTTCTAAGTATTAGAAGCAGGATTTTTATAATCCTTATAGACAGGATTTCCCCAAGGATCTGATGGAAGAGTCCTAGTTATATTCTTCATCAGGCTCTAACACTGGCAATATTTTGTATAAGGAGCAAACCTTTTACTTCAACATTTAATAACGTGAAGTGGGGGTAGTAGTTGGGCAGGATACCCTCTGGAAATTTGTTTTAGATTTATTGAGATCTGGCTGACAAAAATCATATATATTTAAGGTATATGAAGTGATGATTTGATACACATGTATATTGTAAAATCATTACCCCAATCAAGCTAATTAACACCATTATCACTTCACATAGTTACCTTTATGTGATAACATTTGTGTGTGTGTGCGCTAATGTTAACATTTACTTTCTTACCATATTTTAAGTGTACAACATGTTATTATTAACATAGTCACCATGCTGTACATTGGAGCTCTAGAACTTACTCATCTGTAAACTGAAAGTTTGTGTCCTCTGACCAACATCTCCCCATTTCTCCCACCTCCCAGACCCTGGTAACCACCATTCTATTCTTGTTTTAGGAGTACAACTTGTTTATATTCCACATATAAATGATATCATACAGTATTCATTTTTCTCTGTCTGGATTATTTCACTATCATATTGTCCTCCAGGTTCATCCATGTTGACTAAATAGCAGGATTTTCTTTTTTAAAAAAGGTTGAAGAATATTTGTGTGCGTGTGTCACATATTATGTATATATTCATCCATTGATGGATACTTAGGTTATTTTCATATCTTAGCTATTGTGAATAATGCTTCAATGGACATGGGAGTACAGATATTTCTGTGAGATAGTTATTCTTTTCCTTTGGATATTTACCAAAAAGTGGGATTGCTGGACCATATGGTGGTTCTATTTTTATTTTTTTGAGGAACTTCCATACTGTTTTCCATAGCAGCTGCACCAATTTACATTCCCACCAACAGTGTACACAGGTTCCCTTTTATCCATATTCTTGCCAACACTTGTTATCTTTTGACTTTTTGAAAATAGTTATTCTAACAGATATGAGGTGATATATCATTTCAATTTTGATTTGCATTTCCCTGATATTTAATGGTATTGAGCACCTTTTATTACAGTTTTTGGCTATTCTTATATCTTGTCCAGAAAAAATATCTATTCAGGTCCTTTGCTCTTTTATTAACTGGATGATTTTGTTGTTGCCATTGTTGTTTGATCTTTTTTGTTTGTTTTTGCTATTGAGCTGTAGGAGTTTCTTATATATTTTAGATATTAACCTCTTGCCAGTTATAGGGTTTGCAAATATTTTCTCCCATTGCATAGTCTGCCTTTTAGTTTTGTTGATTGCTTGCTTTTCTGCACAGAAACTTTTAAATCTGATGTAGTACCACTTCTTTATTTTTGCTTTTGTTGCCTGAGCTTTCGGTATCATATCCAAAGAAAACCATTGCCAAGACCAATTTAAAAGAGCTTCCCCCTTTGTTTTCTTCCAGGAGTTGTACAGATTCAGGTCTTATGTTTTAAGTCTTTAATCTATTTTGATTACATAGAGTTGATTTGTGTGTATGGTATAAGATGAAGTTCCTATTTCATTCTTTTGCATGTGGATAATTTTTCCAACACCATTTATAGGTGAGACTATCTTTCCCTATTGTGTATTTTTGGCACGTTTATTAAAGATTAGTTTACCATATATGTGTGGGTTTATTTCTGGGCTCTATTTCCTTTCCAATGGACTGTGTATTTGTTTTCATTCCAGAACCAAAACTATTTTGATTGTTACAACTTTGTAATATAATTTGAAATCGAAAAGTCTGATGCCTCTAGCTTTGTTCTTCCTCAAGATTCCCTTAGCTCTTTTGTATTTTTATGGTTCTAAAGGATTTTTAGGCCTTCAGAAGTTTAAAAGAACTACTTGCCTAAATAAAATTGTATTGTTATTCAATACTTGCAGAATATAATTAAGGCCTTTTCAAAAATGGTTTTTGATTGAACTTGATTTCTAAGTCATTGGGTTGAGACTTATATGGAAGTGATATTCATTCATTTGTTGCCATGATAACTCCTACAGCAAATATAAGTGTATATTTTATACCTATAAATACTTATTATTTTATTATGCTCTCAAGATACAGTAAAAAGCAAAAGTTAGCTCCCAGTTTTTACAAAAGTCTTTTGTCATGAAGGACCAAAAACAGAAAAAACCAAAGAAAATAGCAAATACACTTGAAGCACAGAGAGAGAGGGAATAAGAAGCAATGAGGGGAAGGAGAAGAGTAGATGTATATTTCATGAAGTGGTTTATGAAGGAAGTCAAGCTTGTAAAACCTTTGTTTGGCAGATGTGTGAAATTCACGTGATAGGACATCCATGGAATGTGAGTTCTGTGAGCCATAATGAGATTATAAATGGGTCCTGGATGACACTGGTTGGTTGACCAAGAGAAACTTAAGCAAGTTGAGGAGAATATCATGATATGAACCAGTTAGGATGGTTCTCTCTTTAAACTTTGGTGTGAGGAGAGGAACTCAGGGATCTGCTTTATAGAATGTCGACTGCATGGTATAGGAGTGAGTTGATTGGGACAAAAAATCCAACTAGCCTTTCCAATATATTAATAGTTTTACAAGGTAACCACTCAATATCGGTACTTGCTGCAATAAAGTATTTAACTGTAATGAAACTGACCTATGGCTTTGCTAGTATTATTTTCTGTGCTTCTGTTTATATGTTGTTGAAGTCTTATTTGTCTTTCAAAGCCCGGCCTTAATATTTCTAAAGAGAGAATAATCTGTTCTCACACAGTTCAACCAAATTTTTTTACATGTCTCATTATAGATAGACAGACAGACAGACAGACAGACAGACAGACAGATAGATAGATAGATGAGAAATCATTTTTGTTTTAATTTTTCTCAACCCTTAGAATGAAGGGATCTTGGCTTGTGCACTTCTGTGAGCCCTTTAGCACCAAAAACAGTGCTTTACACATCGTATCAGTCCTTTTTTTCCACCTAAAATTTTATTTTTTTTAATCAGAGGTTAGATGGAATACATAGTGTCCTGCTAATGGGTGAAATAAATTTTATTTAGGGTTTTATTTATATAGGACACATGCATTAATAAGTCTCAGATTGGGGGTGTCCCCTTTCCCAGTACTTAGCTGTCACAAAGAATAGGTGAAAAGTTTCAATCAATAAAGTTAGTCAAAGATGCCATTATATATTCAGAATTTTTAAAAAATGTATTTCCCAAGTAAATTATTAATTTTATTTCTTACCCAGTGTGTCATTTTACACTTGTTAGAACATCTATATTGTATATGAAGCATTATTTGGTATGCAAACTGACAGGAAATATATTTCCATTTTGTTTCTAAGAAAATAATATATTTATGTATTATGAGGATGCAAAACGGTTATCTTCTGGGACAATAAATAACATCCCTCCAACACAGCTGAGTGCAAAACAAGTTAAGAGCTAGTTTCTCCAAACTTAGAAGTTGAACGATTAGCTTTATTAGTGATAGACTGGACTGAGATATACAGTTTATAATACTTGTAATGAGATTCATTTATTCACTGAGTCGCATGTGCATTCACATTTCCCAGGCAGGGTCATCACTCTTACCACACAGAAAATATCCAACGTGAACACATGCTTTTCTCTGCACAGACAGGATCCAGAAGAAATAAGAGGAAGAGTGCCCATTGAGCATGCTCAGATTCTTCTCCCCAATTCTCCAAGACCCAAAGATACTTCTTCTCTTTCATGGACTGGAGAGATGGTAAAAAGTTGATTTTGAATTGGTATCTATATTTTTATCTGTACCTATACATTCTTCTAAATATATTTCTAAATCTTCTCATCTATATTTCCATCTATACCCAAATCTATGTTTATCTAACTCTATCTCTTCACATCTATTTTATATATGTAACCTTTCTATTTCTTTCCTTATCAATCAGATTTTATAATTGTACCTAATAGTAGGCCATGCTATTTTGACTTTTATGATTCTCTATCAGATGTCTTCTTCTGGGATACATTCTTCATGGAATGTTCTGTTGACAATCTTGGAAATAAAAGGTAGGATTTAATGGTGTCGCTAAATTTTGGATAGACCTAGAATTGTTTTAAATTCATTTATTGAACGTATATGGTTACTGGCTGGATGTGTATATAAACTGAAACAAAGTCCTAATTTCAGGCTAGCTTCTCACTGTTGGCATGAATGCTTTTAGAATTACTTCCAATGTTGATTGCATATGTTCAAGAAATAAAATTAGTAAATGCTAGTTAAATGAAAATATAAATAGATATAGAATAACTAATAAATTTGGTGAAAATTGTGGAGGCACAGCAAAGTCAGACAATCCAATTTTACTATTTTAAATGTTTCCTGTTAAGTATTTCTTTTTCATTTATTCACTCATTGAAAAGTACTTTAAAAAATTAAAAACCAATTATTTCTGTAAGTAACTTCAAAGATGATGGCTTTTGAGATTATATCTAGAAATATTAGGAGCTACTTGAAATTTTTATATTATATAGTACTTCTCTTTTGTTGAGGGAAAAATACAAAAAGAATATGAGTAAGGAAAGAAGGAACCAACTCTGACTATTGGTGATAGATATCCCAAATAAACAATCGAAGAGAAAATATTAAATATTTATTCTTTTAACATCCAACAATGTGAAGTCATACTGAAGTTTACTAAATTCCACCAAATATAAATTATATATATTGTGGAATTGAAACACAATATACTTCAATAATATGTTAAAATGGGTTTAGATTATTTATACCGTGGTCTTACCCTAATGCAATAGAAACTCAGAGTTTATTGTACAGTATAGATGAAGTAAATATTTATTATCTTCTTGCTTAAATATATTGTTTTCAAACAAATTGAAAATTATATATGTGCAATAGTTATTCAAATTTATAAAACAATTCTTTCAAATGTAAATTTTATAGAAAACATGCCATTTAAGAAATGTACACCTATAAATATTCCCATTCATTATAAGCAAACTAAAAGAGTGCTTTTGTATTGAAATAATGCCTTCTAATGGAATTGGAAATGTTGGCAAGCCATCAGGAAAAGTAGGCATTTTAAAATGGGGGAAACAAAGAGTGAAAATAAATAGATATATAATTGTTGAATCACGTTATCCCTTGATATAAAACTAGACTGTTGAAATTCTAAGTATCAGAGGGTACTATCGAAAAGAAATCATTGAAAAATATTGCACAATTACTCCAAAGAACTAATGGAGATTTTAAAAAAAATTCAAAGCATAAGACAGAAAAAGTGTTTATCTGCTTATGTTTTTACTCCATATGTTCATTTTCTTATAGTTCTACTGTTTTGCTACATTTTTCTGTGATTTACAATATTCTGGAACCATATAATTCAGTAGATGTTATTACTAGTTCTACTTCTTGATATACCATTTTTTCTCTTTTCTCTCTCGGCACTCTGTTTTCCAATATAGAGTAATCTAACAGGCAGGAGACTGTTTCGAGCCAAAGGTATTATTTTTAGAAGAAAGAAGTAGACATTACTGAATTTGATCTTGCTTTTCTCCTTTGTCAAATTTTCACTGCTGTGTAATTGCTTTGTGGTGTGTGCACTTGAACTATGTGATGTGTGTGAAAATTACTAAGTGGCATTGCAGATTTGACTAATTAACCCCTACAAGAGAATGAGCAATGAAATTTTGTTACGGTTTCCTTGTACACAATAACAACTGACCTTTTGAAGGCTATGTCCTTACCATACTGATGTGTGCTTCCAATATAAATTTAAAGCATTTCTCATTTGTAACTGAAGGAGAAAAATAGCATTTTGAATAAAACAATTTTTATTAGAGTTTGTATTCTACTACATTCACTATGGTCTACATTAAATAATGAATGTTATGAAAATGCAAACTTTATTTGACAAGATGAACTTCTGAAAGTCCATAATAATCTGTAATGTGAACATCTGGATTCTAAAAAGACATTGTTTTCATGTGGATATATCTGTGTAGGATTTCTGTTTTGTTGGTGGTGGTGGTGGTATTTGACTGGAGAAAGAGGGACAGAAAAAAAATAAGAAATATGTAGGAGGTATTTTGCAGTTTTTAAAGATTCAATGAACTAATATTTTAATTTTGAAAGTGCTGCTGAGTAGAATTAAGTATGCATTATTTCTGAGGCCATTGATTCATTTGTTTATGTATTAATAAAGCAATAAATATTCAGGATTTAGAGTGTTCTAGATACTCTGCATCTGAGACTCTGAGAGTGGAAAATTAAATCCTTATCCTTTAAGAGTTCAATAGTAAGACGAAGACAAATATAAAAATATTTACCATTGAATGTTGTAATTTATCTGTGGAATAATCATAGCTATTTCAGTGGGAACACAGAACTCCAGTTCTGCCTTGGGAGTTGGGTAAAAGTCAGGGAAGACATCTACTTAATAGATGTAGGCATTGGGTATTTGTTAGCAGTATATTAGGATAAGCTAATGTAAACCTACATTATAAACAGAGAAATGTTCCCTAAAAAAATGAGATATTTATTCTTCAATAGGATGTTGCAGTGAGAACACACATGCCAGAGTAACTTATGTGTGTATTCAGGAAGGTAAAGAAAGACAAAGGGTTTTCAAAGGAAAAATGACAAGGATTACATGATTGCTTTGAAATGATTATCCTTGGCTACACAAATCAATAAGAGTGACACAAGTCTGAGGTTAGACAGGCAGTTGCTGGGCAGATGTCCTCCCAGCATTTTTTTTAACGTTGTAATGGCCTTTGTGCAAGGTTGTGGTTTCTGCAATGTTTTTTGTGATGGTTTTGTTATCAGGCATACAAGCTTGGGAACCCTTTTTATACCCTTACCTAGCTCTATTTGTCAGAAGAGTTTTTGTTTGTTTGTTAAGACAAATGACTTCATGATTATTCTGATAATGTTCACACTAAAAAATCCAGTAACAATGTCATCTATTTCTGTTTCAATGGTAGTAGAGCAAGACATTTATCTCTTTCATAAGTACATCCGGGGCAGGTTAATTTACAGCAAGGAAGTCTTCTTTATACAACTATTCTCATACTCAGACTAATGGTTACTTGGAATTTTTAATGTGTGACTTCTAAGATTAACCCTTTACAAAGTTGTTCTAATCAGTTAAATAAACAGAGCTTGGAGGAGTGCTTGTGGAAGATTTATATGCCAGACTTAGAAGTGGCATGCATTTCATTGTCTCACAGAACTTCATCCCGTGCTGTACTTAACTGCAGCGGAGACTGAAAGACCTGGAGAGAGAGAAAATAGATTTGGGGGGGACTACTGATGAGGTTTGCCACAGTAAATATTTCAAATAAACAGAAAAATAATATGGTCAAAGGCTTCTGAGTTTGAGCATGGTTGATGTGTTTTAGAAAGCCACAGGTTGTTTTAGCTAAATACGCAGAAGCCATGCAAAAGCCTTTCAGTTTTGGTCTTGAGACAGTGGAGGAAAGCTACACAGTTATTTTGAGTAACGAGCAGATTTGATCATGTTTGTATCATTGCCTATAAAAATGATAAAATAATGCAATAACCTTAGTATGAATATCTTTCTTAAGATAATCAGTTAAGATTTATAATTTTTTACTTATAACAGGCAATCAGACACCTACCAGTCCAAAATGCCAGCTTAAATACCATCAGACTCATCTGATTTACATATCTTATTATTTTAAAAAAATTGAAGGAAAGGCTACATAGAGATCGAAATTATTTCTATAATAATTTTTTTTTCAATTGAGAAAGTAACATTGCATTTTTCTACAGAAAGTTTTTACAAAACTTCCTATAAATCTCACAGGACCTATAAAACAAAAACAAAATAATAAAAAAGGGTATTCAGGCAACAAATAGCACAATAAATAGAACAGTACCTCACATTTCAATACCAATGTCGAATGTAAATGGTCTAAATCCTCCACTCAAATGATACAGAATGGTAGAATGGATAAGAATTTACCAACCAAGTATCTACTGTCTTCAAGAGACTCAGCTAACACATAAGAACTCACATAAACTTAAGGTAGAGGGGCGGAAAAAGATATTTCACGCAAACGGACACCAAAAGTGAGCAGGAGTAGCTATTCTTGTATCAGACAAAACAAACTTTAAAGCAATAGCAGTTAAAAAAGGCAAAGAGAGACATTATACAGTGATAAAAGGACTTATCTGACAGAAAAATATCACAATCTTAAATATATATCCACCTAACACTGGAGCTCCCGAGTTTATAAAAACAATTACTACTAAACCTAACAAACCTACTGTGCCGATAGACAGCAGCACAGTATGTGGAATATTTCAATACTCCACTGACAGCACTAGACAGATCATCAAGACGGAAAGTCAACAATGAAACAATGGCTTTAAACTACACTCTAGAACAAATGGCTTAACAGATATTTACAGAACTTTCTACCAAACAACTGCAGAATGTAAATCCTGTTCATCAGCACAAGGAACATTCTCCAAGATAGACTATATGATAGAGCACAAAACAAGCCTCAATAAATTTAAGAAAATTGGAATTATATCAAGTACTCTTTCACACCACAGTGGAATAAAATTGGAAATCAGTTCCAAAAGGAACCATCAAAACCATGCAAATACATGGACATTAAATAAACTGCTCATAAATGATCTTTGGGTCAACAATAACATCAGGATGGAAATTTAAAAATTCTTTGAACTGAACAATAATAATGAAACAACCTATCAAAACCTCTCAGATACAACACAGGCAATGCTAACTGGAAAGTTCATAGCCTTCAAGGCCTGCATTAAATAGTCTGAAAGAGCACAAATAGACAATCTAAGGTCACACTTCAAAGAACTAGAGAAACAAGAGCAAATCAAACATAAATCCAGCAGAAGAAAAAAATAACAACAAAGATCAGAGCAGAACCAAATGAAAGTGAAACAACAAAAAGTACAAAACATAAATGAAATAAAGAGCTGATTCTTTGAAAAGATAAAAAAAATCAACAGACCATTAGTGAGATGAAGCAAGAAAAGAAAACAGAAGATCAAATTAGCTCAATTAGAAACAAAATGGGAGATATTACGACAGATACCACAGAAATACAAAAGATCATTCAAGGATAGTGTGAACATCTTTATGTGCATAAACTGGAAAACCTGGAGGAGATGGATAAATTCCTGGAAATATACAACCCTCCAAGATTAAACCAGAAAGAAATAGAAACTGAACAGACCAATAACAAGCAGCGAGTTTGAAATGGTAATTAAAAAAATGCCAACAAAACAAAGTCCGGGATCATACAAATTCACAGCTGAATTCTATTAGACATTCAAAGAAGAATTGGTATGTATCCTATTGACACTATTCCAGAAGATACAGAAAGAGAGAATACTCCCTAAATCATTCTATGAAACCAGTATCACCCTAATACCCAAATCAGGAAAGGACATAACAAAAAAAAAAAAAAAAAAGAAACATATGGACTAATATCCCTGATGAATATGAATGAATAAGTCATTAACAAAATACTAGCAAACCAAATTCAACAGCATATCGAAAAGATAATCCACCATGATCAAGTGGGTCTCATACCAGGGATGCAAGGATAGTTTAACATACACAAGTCAATAAATGTGATACACCACCTAAACAGAATTAAAAACAAAAATCACATGATCACCTCAATAGATGCAGAAAAAGCACTTGACAAAATCCAGTATCCCTTTATGATTAAAACCCTTAGCAAAATTGGCATAGAAGGGGCATACTTTAATGTAATAAAAGACATCTATGACAAACCTACAGCCTACAACAAACGAAACTGGGAAAAGTTGAAAGCATTCCTTCTGAGAACTGGAACAAGACAAGGATACCTGCCCTCACCACTTCTAGTCAACATAGTACTGGAAGTCTTAGCCAGAGCAATCGGAAAAAAAAAAAAAAGGAGAAATAAAAGTCATACAAATTAGTAAGGAGGAAGTAAAACTGTTGCTGTTGGCTGATGACATACTTGTGTACCTAGAAAACCCTAAAGACTCCTCCAAAAAGCTCCTAGAACTAATAAATGAATTCAGCAAAGTTTCAGTATACAAAATTAATGTACACAAATCAATAGCTTTGCTATACACCAACAGCGTCCAAGCTGAGAATCAAGAACTCAACCACTTTTACAATAATTGCAAAAATTAAATAAAATACTTAAGAATATAACTAACCAAGGAGGTGAAAGACCTCTACAAGGAAAACTACAAAGCACTGCTAAAAGAAATCATAGATGCACAAACAAATGAAAACACATCCCATGCTCATGGACAGGTAGAGTCAATGTTGTGCAAATGACCATACTGCCAAAAGCAATCTACAATTTCAATACAATTCCCATTAAAATACCACTATCATTCCTCACAGAACTAGAAAAAACAATCCTAAAATTTATATGGAACCAAAAAAAGAGCCCACATAGCCAAAGCAAGACTAAGCAAAAAGAACGAACCTGGAGGCATCACATTACCTGACTTCAAACTATACTATAAGGCCATAGTCACCAAAACAGCATGACACTGGTATAAAAATAGGCACTTAGACAAATGAAACAGAATAGAGAACCCAGAAATGAAGCCAAGTACTTACAGCTAACTGAAATTTGACAAAGCAAACAAAAACGTAAAGTGGGTAAAGGACACCCTATTCAACAAATAGTGCTGGGATAATTGGCAAGTCACGTGTAGAAGAATGAAACTAGATCCTCATCTCTTACCTTATACAAAAATCAACTCAAGATGGATCAAGGACTTAAATCTAAGACCTGAAACCATAAAAATTCTAGACGATAACATCAGAAAAATCCTTCTAGACATCAGCTTAAGCAAAGACATCATGACCAAGAACCCAAAAGCAAATGCAACAAAAACAAACATAAATAGATGGGATTTAATTAAACTAAAAAGATTCTGCACAGCAAAAAATCAAAACCAAAAACAAACAAACAAACAAACAAACAATCAGCGGAGTAAATAGACAACCCAAAGAATGGGAAAAAAATCTTTGCAATCTGACAAAGTACTAATATCCAGAGCTACAAGGAGCTCAAACAAATCGGCAAGAGAAAAACAAGCATTCCTATCAAAACGTGTGCTAAGAACATGACTAAACAATTCTTTTTTTTCTTTTCTTTTCTTTTCTTTTTTTTTTTTCTTGACGGAGTCTTGCTCTGTCGACCAGGCTGGAGTGCGGTGGCGCAATCTCGGCTCACTGCAAGTTCCGCCTCCTGGATCCGTGTCCTTTTCCTGCTTCAGCCTCCCGAGTAGCTGGGGCTACAGGCGCCAGCCACCACACCCGACTGAACAATTCTTAAAAGAAGATATACAAAAGGACAGCAAACATATGAAAAAAAATGTTCAACATCACTAATGATTAGGGGAATGCAAATAAAAACCACCATGTGATACCACCTTACTCCTGCAAGAATGGCCATAATAATAATAATAATAAATAGATGTTGGTGTGGACGTCATGAAAAGGGAACACTTATACTGCTGTTGGAAATGTAAACTAGTACAACCACCATGGAAAACAGTGTGGAGATTCCTTAAAGCACTAAAAGTAGAACTACCATTTGATCCAGCAATCCCACTGCTGGGAATCTACCCAGAGGGAAAGAAGTCATTATACAAAAAAGATACTTGCACATGCATGTTGATAGCAGCAGAATTCACAATCACAAGAATATGGAACCAGTCCAAATACCCATCAATTAACGAGTGGATAAAGAGGTTGTGGTTGATGCATACCGTGGAATACTACTTAGCCATAAAAAGGAATGAAATAATGGCATTCACTGCACCCTGGGTAGCAACCATTATTCTAAGTGAAGTTACTCATGAATGGAAAAACCAAATATCATATGTTCTCACTTATAAGTGGGAGCTAAGCTATGAGGATGCAAAGGCATAAGAATAATGTAATGGACTTCGGGGACTCAGAGAAAAGGGTGGGAGGAGGGTGAGGGATAAAGGACAGCACATTGGGTACAGTGTACACTGATCAGGTGACAGGTGCAACAAAAGCTCAGAAATCACCACTAAAAAACTTATTCATGTAACGAAGCAACATCTCCCCAAAATCCTATTGAAACAATATATATAATTTAAAAATATGAATAACGTGTATCTGAATAAAATTTAAAAAATAATAACATTTGGATCTCCTAAGATGTACAAATGGTTAACAAGCACATGAAAAGAAGTGCAAAATCATTAGTCATTAGGGAAATACATATTAAGACCAAAGTGAAGTACCACTTCACTTTCACTAGAATGATAATTTTAAAAATGGAAAATAAAGAGTTTTGGCAAGGAAGTGGAAGAATTTGAACTCTTGTATATTGCTGGTGGGAGTGTAAATAGTGCAGCCACTGAAGAAAAGAGCTCGACAGCTCCTCAAAAAATTAAACATGGAATTATCATATGACCCAGCAATTCTACTCCTAGGTACATACCCCAAATAATTCAAAAAATTAAATGTATATACATGGTCACAGCAGTACTATTTACAACATCCAAAAAATGAAAACAGTTCAAATGCCCATCAATGAATAAATGGAGAAACAAACTCTTGTATATTGCAGAATGAAATATTACTCAGCCATTAAAAGGGATGAAGTACTGATACATCTACCATGTGGATGAACCTCAAAAACATGCTAAGTGAAAGAAGCCCAACACAAAGGGTCACATATTGTATGATTCCCTTTATATGAAATATCTAGAACAGATAAGTCCATAAGAGACAGAACACAGATTGGTGGTTGCCAGGGACTGGAGAGAAGAAAGATGCTTAATGTTTGAAAGGTTTTCTTTTCAGGTAATGAAAATGTTTTAGAATTAGATAGAGGTGATGGTTGTACAACACTGTGAAGGTGCCCAGTGCTACTCAATTGTTCATTTTTAAATTGTAAGTGTTATACTATGTGAATCTCACTTCAAAAAAAATCTGAAAAAAAAAGAAAATTATTACAAAGCTTTTGTCATCCTTTTGCTCCAAGTACACTATACCAAAAATCACCTGCATTTTATTGAATACCTACTATGCATTATTAAACATACATACACACACACACACACACACACACACACACACATATATATGATTGATTGATAATTCTCACCAAGATTAGCTTTAAAGTTAAAACTTCAGGATATTAGATAAAAAGAATCACTAGTATAGCACAGAACTGAAAATATATGACAGCATACGTACCCTAAAAAGCAATCAAAATTAATGTCTATCATATATATTCAATAAATATTCAACCAATATTTAGTAGCACCTACTACATCTGTGAAATTGCAGACATAGCTATGCCTGAGCTACATCAGAGATTTCTTTTAAAAACCTGGTCTTTTGGTACTTTCAATTTTAAGTAGAAACTAACTATAATGAATAAGTAAACAGCATAGTATAGTCATGCATTGCTTAATGACACATGTACATTCTGAGAAATGCATCAGTGGCAATTTTTTGTCCTTGTATCATAGAGTTTACTCACACAAACCTGATGGTATACATCCTACACACCTATGTTACATGGTGTAGCCTTTTGCTCCTAGGCTAAAACCTGTATAGCATGTTACTGTATTGAATACTGTAGGCAATTATAACACAATAGTAATTATTTGTGTATCTAAACCTATCTAAACATAGAAAAGGTACAGTAAAAATATAATACAAAATAGAAAATGTGGTATACCTATATAGGGCACTTACCATGAACGAAGCTTGTAAGACTGGAAGTTGTTCTGGATGAGTCAGTGAGTGAGGGGTAAGAGAATGTGAAGGCCGAGGACATAACTGTACACTACTGTAGGTTTTATCAACACTATACACACAGGATATACAAATTTATTAAAAATCCTTTATTCAATAATAATTTAGCCTTAGCTTACTATAACTTTTATAGAGTATAAGCTTATTATTTGAAAATTTTTTAACCTTTTGTAATAACTCTTGTCTTAAAGCCCAAACACATCTTACAGCTATACAAAAATAGTTTCTTTCTTTATATTCTTAATCTATAAGCTATGTTTCTATCTTTTTTTTTGTACCTTTAAAACTATTTCTTTTTTGTTAAAAAAGATGATGGAACACATACATAGGAAACCTATACAGAGTCAGAATCATCAATAAATATCACTGTTCCACCTCCACATCTTGTCCCACTGGAAAGTCTTCAAGGGCAATAACATGCATTGAACTGTCATCTCCAGTGATAACAATGCATTCTTCTGGAGTACCTCCTAAAGGACCTGACTGAGGCTATTTTATGTAACTATTTTTTTATAAGTAGAAGAAGTACATTGTAAAATAGCAATGAAAAGTATGACATAGTAAATACATAAACTAGTGATAGTCAGTTATTATCATTATCAAGTATTATGTATTATGCATAATTGTATATGTTATACATTTATATAATTAGCAGCTCAATAGCTTTTTTTTTACGTGAGCATCACCACAGACACTTGAGTAATCCATTGAACTAGGAATGTTAGTTACAACAGTTATGGTGTCACTAGATGATAGAATTTTTTCCGCTCTATTATAATCTATGAGACAAAGATTATAAATGAGGTCTGTTGTTGATCAAAACACTATTATGTGACACATGACTGTATACACACATACATTTATGTGCTATGTACATAAACACACAATATACATTAGAGCTTTGTCTATGTCTGTGTAAACAGTGATATATATGGATATATATATATAGGTAAATTTATATGTGAGAATTTATATATACATGGAGATATATGCTATGGGAGTAAATATAGAGATATACATATATATAGGAAGACATATGTATATATTGAAGTAGAGAGAAAAAGAGTGATAGAGATAGAAAGATACTATATATATATGGAGATACATGTCACATATAATACATCACTCTCTATGTATGCATCCTATGTATATAATGTGTGTACAACATACATCTCCCTACACATACGCCCCTATAGAAACACACACACACAGGCATAAATCAGAGATATTGTGTTCTTGGTTCCAGACCATGGCAATAAAGCGAATCACATATATTTTTTGGTTTCTTAGTGCTTATAAAAGTTATGTTTACACTACAGTGTAATCTATTAAGTGTGCAATAGGATTGGGTTTAAAAATACAATATATATATAACTTCATTTAAAAATGCCTTAGTGTTAAAAACACTAATGATCATCTGAACCTTCAGCAAATTATAATCTTTCTGCGGGTGGGGAGCCTTGCCTTGATGTTGATGGCTGCTGACAGGTCAAGGTGGTGGTTGCTGAAGGTTGAAGTGGCTGTGGCAATTTTTTAAAGTAAGACGACAATGAAGTTTATAACATTACTTGATTCTTCCTTTCATGAAAGATTTCTCTGTAACATGCAATGCTGTTTGATGTCATTTTATCCACAGTATAATTTAAGAATTGGAGTCAATCCTCTCAAATCCGGCCACTACATTATCAACATAGTGCATGTAACATTATAAACCCTTTGATCATTAAAACAACATTGACAACATCTTCACCAGGAATAGATTACATGTGAAGAAATCACTCTCTTTACTCATCCGTAAGAAGCAATTCCTCATCCATTAACATTTTATCATGAGATTGCAGCAATTTAGTCACATCTTCCGGCTTTACTTCTAATCATAGTTCTCTTGCTACTTATACCACATCTTTAGCGATTTCCTCCCCTGATGTCTTGAACTCCTCAGAGTCACTCAGGAAGTTTGGAATCAACTTCTTCCAAACTCCTGTTGATATTTTGACCTCCATCCATGAATCATAAATATTCTGAATGGCATTAAATCCTTTCCAGAAAGCTTTTCACTTATTTTGTCCAGATCCATCAGAAGAATCGTTATCTGTGGAAGTTAAACCCTTCTGAAATGTATTTCTTAAATAATGAGACTTGAAAGCTAAAATTCCTACTTGACCATGGGCTGCAAAATGGATTTTGTGTTAGCAGGCTTGGAAACCACATTAATCTCCTAGTATATCTCTATCAGAGCTCTTGGGTGACTAGGCATATTGTCAAAGAGCAGTAATATTTTTTTAAAAAATCTCTTTCTCTGAGCAGCAGCTCTCATCAGTGAGCTTAAAATATTCAGTAAACCATGCTGTAAGCAAATGTGCTGTCATCCAGGCTTTGTTGCTTTATTTATGGAGCAAGGGCAGAGGAGATTTAGCATAATTCTTAAGGGGCCTAGAATTTTCATTATGGCAAATGAGCGTTGGCTTTAACTTAAAGTCATCAGCTACATCATCCCCTAACAAGACAGCCAATCTGTCCTTTGAATCTTCAAAGTCAGGCATTGACTTCTAATTATGAAAGTCCTGGATGGCATCTTCTTCCAAGGGAAGGCTATTTCATCTACATTGATAATCTATTGTTAGCATAGCCACCTTCATCAATTCTCCTAACTAGATATTCTGGAGAACTTGTTGCAGCTTCTTCATCAAAATTTGCTCCTTCACCTTGCAATTTTATGTTGTGAAGACAGCTTCCTTCCTAAAACTTCATGAGCCAATCTGTGCTTGCTTCCAACTTTTCTTCTGCGTTTCCTCAACTCTCTCAGCTTTGAAGAATCAAAGAAAAGACATTGCTCTGGATTAGGCTTTGGCTTAAGGGAATGCTGTGGCTGGTTTGATCTTCTGTTCAGACCATTAAAACTTTCTTCCTATTAGCAAAAAGGCTGTTTTACTTTCTTATCATTTGTGTGGTCACTAGAGCAGCACTTTTAATTTCCTTCAAGAACTTTTTCATTGTATTTACAAGTTGGCTAACAGTTTGGCACAAAAAGTTGAGCTTTTGGCCTATCTCAGCTTTTGACATGCCTTTCCTCCCTAAGGCTAATCATTTTTAGCTTTTGACTTGACTTTCATTAATGGAGCACAGGCAGAGTAGATTTAGCATAATTCTTAAGGGCCCTAGAACCTTTGACTTAAAGCAAGGGACATATAACTCTTTCTTCACTTGAACACTTAGAGACTATCGTAGGGTCATTAATTGACCTGATTTCAATATTGTGTCTCCTCAGAGATCTGAGAGGGAAAGAGAACATGGAAACAACTCGTTGGCAGAGCAGCTGGAACACACAAAACATTTATTAATTAAGTTTGCTGTCTTATGTGGGTATAGTTTGTGGTGCCCCAAAACAATTACAATAGTAGCATCAAAGATCACTGATCATGGAGAATCATTACGGATATAATAATAATGAAAAAATTTGAATATTGTGAGAATTGCCAAAATGTGACACAGACATGAAGTGAGCACATGCTTGTGGAAAAATGGCACCAAAAGATGTGCTCAATGCAGGGTTGCCACAACCCTTCAATTTGAAAAACACACAGTAGCTGTGAAGTGCAATAAAATGAAGTATGCCTGCATAGACCTATATATATGTATAGTGTGTTATGCACATATACCTTTATGTATTACATATATGCTTATAGAATAGATATATTTATATAGTAAATCTCAGATGCTAAATCAATTTTCAAATCATTGTGAACTCTCATAAACATGCGAGGCAAGGAGTGACGACCACTGCCCAGACCCAGGAAAAGAGAGTTGATAACAAACAACTGTTCCAGTTGCACAATGATACCGGGTCATAAATTAACAAGAGTAATCTGCTTATATTTAAATTTTTGATATTTTCCTTGTTACATATTTGTTTGATATTGATTTTTAGTTTATTACATTAAATATTATTTAGCTTGATTACTGAATTTTTGGTACCTCTTTAAAAATTTGTTTCATTTATTTAAAAATATTTTTATTGTATTTATTTATGGAATACAGCATGATTTTTTGTATATGTATACATTTTGGAATGAGTAAATCCACAATGATTTAATTAAGTTATTCATCAAGTTTATTAAGCTATCCGTCACCTTACAAACTTATCATTTTTTGTGGTTAGAACTTTTAAAATCTACCTTCTTAGCCATTTTCGAGTATAGAGTGCATTATTATTGACTATAGTCATCATACTCTGTAATAGATCTCCAGAACTTAATCATGCTTTCTAACTGAAGCTGTGTACACTTTGACCAATATCTCTCCAAGGCACCCCCGCCCACCCCTGTTAATCAGATTCTACTTTTTTCTGCTAAGAGTTCTATGTCTAAGACTTTCTCTTGGGAGTGATTGTACTAGGCCTAATAGGCTATTGAAAAGATACTGGATTTCATTTTCCATGAAATGGGGAGCCATTGGAAGGTTTTGAAGAAAGGAGTGACACAACAGATCTTTTATTTTTAAAAGATTTTATATGCTGTTGTGCTGAGAATAAACTGAGGGTGGAAGTTACATGGAAAAAAGCCAGAATATTCTTTTTTGTTGTTATACTTTAAGTTTTAGGGTACATGTGCACAATGTGCAGGTTTGTTACATATGTATACACGTGCCATGTTGGTGTGCTGCACCCATTAACTCGTCATTTAACATTAGGTATATCTCCTAATGCTATCCCTCTCCCCTATCCCCACCCCACAACAGTCCCCGGTGTGTGATGTTCCCCTTCCTATGTCCATGTGTTCTCATTGTTCAATTCTCACCTATGAGTGAAAACGTGGTGTTTGGTTTTTTGTCCTTGTGATAGTTTGCTGAGAATGATGGTTTCCAGCTTCATCCATGTCCCTACAAAGGACATGAACTCATCATTTTTTATGGCTGCATAATATTCCATGGTATATATGTGCCACATTTTCTTAATCCAGTCTATCATTGATGGACATTTGGCTTGGTTCCAAGTCTTTGCTATTGTGAATAGTGCCATAATAAACATACATGTGCATGTGTCTTTATAGCAGCATGATTTATAATCCTTTTGGTATATACCCAGTAATGGGATGGCTGGGTCAAATGGCATTTCTAGTTCTAGATCCCTGAGGAATCGCCACACTGACTTCCACAATGGTTGAACTAGTTTACAGTCCCACCAACAGTGTAAAAGTGTTCCTATTTCTCCACATCCTCTCCAGCACCTGTTGTTTCCTGACTTTTTAATGATCGCCGTTCTAACTGGTGTGAGATGGTATCTCATTGTGGTTTTGATTTGCATTTCTCTGATGGCCAGTGATGATGAGCATTTTTTCATGTGTCTTTTGGCTGCATAAATGTCTTCTTTTGAGAAGTGTCTGTTCATATCTTTGCCCACTTTTTGAGCCGGAGGCACGCTACCTGACTTCAAACTATACTACAAGGCTACAGTAACCAAAACAGCATGGTACTGGTACCAAAACAGAGATATAGACCATGGAACAGAACAGAGCCCTCAGAAATGATGCCACATATCTACAGCCATCTGATCTTTGACAAACCTGACAAAAACAAGAAATGGGGAAAGGATTCCCTATTTAATAAATGGTGCTGGGAAAACTGACTAGCCATATGTAGAAAGCTGAAACTGGATCCCTTCCTTACACCTTATACAAAAATCAATTCAAGATGGATTAAAGACTTAAATGTTAGACCTAAAACCATAAAAACCCTAGAAGAAAACCTGGGCAATACCATTCAGGACATAGGCATGGGCAAGGACTTCATGTCTAAAACACCAAAAGCAATGGCAACAAAAGCCAAAACTGACAAATGGGATCTAATTAAACGAAAGAGCTTCTGCACAGCAAAAGAAAACTACCATCAAAGTGAACAGGCAACCTACAGAATGGGAGAAAATTTTGCAATCTACTCATCTGACAAAGGGCTAATATCCAGAATCTACAATGAACTCAAACAAATTTACAGGAAAAAAATAAACAATCCCATCAAAAAGTGGGCAGAATAGTCTTTAAGAGGCTCTTGTAGCAATTCAAGTAGGAAATGATGATGGGGCTGGGTACGGTGGCTCACGCCTGTAATCCCAGCACTTTGGGAGGCCAAGGTGAGCAGATCATGAGGTCAGGAGATCAAGACCATCCTGGCTAACAGGATGAAACCCTGTCTCTACTAAAAATACAAAAAATTAGCCGGGCATGGTGGTGCGGGCCTGTAGTCCCAGCTACTTGGGAGGCTGAGGCAGGAGAATCCCTTGAACCCAGGATTCAGATGTTGCAGTGAGCAGAGATTGTGCCATTGCGCTCCAGCATGGCAACAGAGCAAGACTCCATCTCAAAAAAAAAAAAAAGAAAGAAGTGATGATAGATGGTAGCATCTATATTCATATAGCTATTGAAAAGTAATTGCATTCTAAAATATTTTGAAAGAATAGCAAAAATAATTTTACAATGGGTGAGACCTAAGATTTTAGAGAAAGAGGTAGGTCAAGGTGAATCCAAGGCTGTGGTTTGTGCAATTAGAGGATGATGTTATCCTCAGCAGAGATGGGGAAGACTGTGAGAGACAGGTTGACAGAAAGGGAAGATTACTTTTGGACTGAGTGAGATGTTTATTACACATCTGAAGAAAGATACTGAATAGATATCAAAGTCTGGAGCTCAGGAGATAGATTTCAGTGAGACATAGAAATCTAGGATAATTGTATCACTTGGAAGTGATTCAAGTTTAATTTTCATTAGTTTGAATTTAATGAATGCATATGTAATGAAGTTATCAAATTTATTTTGCTCTATATTTTATTGCTATAAAGCATAGTACATAAATTGTATCTGCCATTGCCTATTTATGCAAATTCCTTTGAAAAAATAAAACTTTTAGTTTTAAGAGCCTGACATTGAACCACAGAAGCAAATACTTAGCAATAATCTAAATCATACACTGTGAGCTCCCTCTGCTGTTACTGGAGACTCAGTTACTTATAAAATTGGCAAAACTCATGAGACCTAAACTAAATAACTGCTGGATATTTACAGAAAAATATTAACTATACTAATGGAAAAAAAATAACAGTATAAATGAAATACTATTAACAATACAAATGGAGTTTAAACAGTTTGAAACTCTTAACAGTGTCTCCTGTTTAAAGTTTATAATATATTAAGCAGGTTCACAAAACATTGGTCTGAAAAATAATCCTATAAAATTTAGAAATACCTATATAGGTTTTATTTTTAAAATAAACAAGTTACATATTTACCAATAAAAATAATCAAGAAATTATTTAAATCAAAATAGAATGGCTCTACTTTCTTAAAGAAGAATTATGAACACATTGCATTTTCAATAAAAGACAAAACATTTTATGTTTGATTTAATTATTTAATATCCAGCAAGTAAAAGAGAATGGTTAGTCAGTAGCTTACTGTTGGCAATGTGAACATCGACAAACTTAATTACAATCATCAAGAAAAGTATGTGCTAAAAGTTTCCTGTGTAAGTTGGTACAGTATAATGTGTTTTGAGAAGATTTATATTACACATTTAAATATAGTAAAGCTCAGGAATTACAGTTTAAATAATGAGATTTGTGTGAATTCAAACATAAAATACATAATACAGGACACTGTAATAGTGAACAATGGCATATGAGGTCATTTATAGTTACTGTCCCACTTTCTCTAGATCCCATTTCTGTGACATTTCTCATTTTAGAGGCTTAATAAAATAATAATAGTTCTCCAGTGCATCATGTACCTTACCTTCTCTTATACAAGTATTTATCCGATGTTTTTTCAAGGCATAGCTGAATGACTTTGTTGATTAGGTTAGATGCCTCTTGTCTGTACATATAAAACACACAGGCTCTGAAATCAAATAGGACTGGCAGTTTATACTGGCTCTGCCACATTGAAAATTTTACTCTGGGCATTAGAAATAAAAAGTAATGCATAAGATTCTCAATAATAATGAATGAAACAATACTAGTACGGTTTGGAACACATAAAGAGATACTTTGTATACTGTAATTATTAATAGTCTACAATTAATGTATTTCACAGGATATCATAATTTATTGTAATTGTTAATTTTTGTGTTTCTTCATTACTAGACTTCAATTTCTTTAAGGGTAATCAGAATCATGCTTTTCATATTTATATTAGAAATTAGCTAAATATGTGGTACAATGGAAATAAGCAATAAACCTTGTTAATAATAAATACAGGAGGATTAATGATATTTTCAAGTGCTTATTTAAAATTGGAAAATTAATTTTAAAGCAAACATAGTAGTATATCATTAATTTCAAAGTCTATAAATTAGTATGTTTAATGAAGTTAATCATTTAGACATAGTAAAAATAAAAAAAGCTAAAGTAAGTCATTTGCTTTGGACATAATATTATATACTTTGTGTCCCTTCTTTCTTAATTGCCTTCAAGTTATTAAATGTAGCAGCAGACAGGAAAGACAGATAATCATGTAAGATGGTAGTTGTTAACTAAGACAACCATGTCATTTCTTTGTGTTTTCTTCCTTTTTATTTTCCTTCAATCAATAAAAGCTCTAAAATGAAACAGAACATTAGGTTTTTGCTAATTTTTTCTGCTTAATTTTTGCTAGGCATGTTCCTGTTGTATACATGACAATTATTCTCATTTTAAGTCCTCTTTCCAATAAAACATTTAGGGTATCACTTAAAATTGGACACCTAAAAATATGTGCAAGTCACCCTTGAGAGTGAAAACCCAAACATGTCAACAACACTCAAGTTTATTTTGTGACTTTTTGGTATTTTGTAGTTTGCCAGAATATGAAAAATTATTAGTAAACAATTCCATGTGGTGATGTGAATTCTCCTCAATTCACAATAGTAAAGACATGGAATCAACCTAAACACTCATCAATGGTAGACAGGATAAAGAAAATCTGGTACATGTACACCACGAAAAATAGCCATAAAAAGAACGAGACCATATTCTCTGCAGCAATATGGATGGACCTGGAGGCCATCTTCCTAAGCAAACTAACACAGGAAAAGAAAGCCAAATACTGCACGTTCTACCTTATAAATGGTAGCGGAACAACTAGAGCACACGGACACAAAGAAGGGAACAACAGACACCAGGGCCTGCTTGAGGGAGGAGGGTAGGAAGAGGGTGAGGATCAAAAAACTACATACCAGCTGCTATGATTATCACCTGGGTGATGAAATAATCTGTATGCCAAACTCACATGACATGCAATTTATCTATATAGCAAACCTGCACATGTAGCCCTGAACCTAAAAGTTAAAAAAAAAGTGAGAACACATGGACACAGGGAGGAGAACATCACACACTGGGGCCTGTCGGGTGGTGGGGGGCTAGGAGAGGGATAGCATTAGGAGAAATACCTCATGTAGATGACGGGTTGATGGATGCAGCAAATCACCATGACACGTGTATACCTATGTGGCACACCTCCATGTTCTGCATATGTATCCCAGAACTTAAAGTATTTAAAAAAAAGAATCACATAATGTAAAAACTGTAGTTTTCTACAAAATTAATGGAAAACAAGAGACTACTGAATGTTAGTGATTTATTATTGTTTAATAAGGAAAGGAAATAACATTTCAAACTAATAAACTTCTCTGAATTACTCATATCAAAATTTTGCTCTCCACCCAGTTAGCATGGAAGTAGTTTTCTGTCTCTGAGATTTTCAAAAGTAATAACATTAAGTTCACAAATTTTGAATATTTAAGTTCACACATTTTGAAATATAATTGGTTGTTATAGAGCTGTATGTAATTTTTGGAGGTCAGTAAGTAAAGGCATTATTGACAGTATAAAGTACACATCAAATTCCAAAGGCACAAAAACCCATAATGAAGTAGAAAAACTTCTGGTGGGAATAGAATATATGGGGAGAAATATTCCTTGGGGGAAGAGATAGGAGTTGGTGCTTGATTTTATAGGAGAATTAGGCAGATTACAAAGTGCAATTATAAGTTTGGACTTTGACTAGTAGCTAATGGAGAAGAATTTAACTTTTGTGCTTATGGCTGTATTTTCTATAGGCAGCATGGTGTCTAGAACATAGTGGGTATGTAATATACATATTGGAAACCTTTTGTTGAATGCATGTTATTATTTGAATTTTAGAGTGCTAGCTTCTGAGCATGATGAAAAATAATTGGAAGAATGCAAGACTAGCATAAAATAAACAGGTTAGAATAATCTCACAATATAACAGAAAAAAGAGATGGAAGTCCTCATCTAATAATATGGCAGTGAGGCTAGAGAGAGATGAGAAAGACACAAGAGATGTTTTAAAAACAGGTGGACCAGAAGGTGGGTGAGACAAAGTTATGAGGTTTCTGATATGGGAAACTACGTGGATAGTGTTCACTAAGATAAGAATTACAAAAGGAGAGAAGATAGAAAAATAGTTCTGATTGGTGGAAGGGCCTAAGTAGATTCAATTTTGAGCCATTCCATATTTCCAAAGGAAAATGACCAGTTATTAGTGACTTGAAACTGAGCACAGAAGTTTACAGTTTCTAATCACATTGGGAATATAATAAACACATGTATGAAAACATAAACAGGAGAACAATGCTACTATTATAAGTTACTTCTAACTCTATCAATTTCTGTCATTCAGAGCATTGGAAAATACAATTTACAATAAGACACTAATTAGATGTTTTAAAGAATAAGTACAAAGGGAATTGTAACCACAAAAACCAATCTGAGCTGGTATCATTGCGAAGGCTTCATAGGGAAGAGATGGCTTAGGTTTTGAGCTTTATTTCAACTTTTTTTTTTAATTTAAGTAGTTTTCTGTGTCTTCAGACAAGTATCTCTTCTCTTCTCAAAATTAATGGTGGTTTTATTTTGTATATATAGGTCCTGAAGGTGTTTTTTCTTTTTCTTTTTTTTTTTTGAGACGGATTCTCACTCTGTCGCCCAGGCTGGAGTGCAGTGCAGTGATCCCAGCTCACTGAAACCTCTGCCTCCCGGATTCAAGCAATTCTCCTGTCTCAGACTCCGAGTAGCTGGGACTACAGGTGCATGTCACCACACCCGGCTAATTTTTGTATTTTTAGTAGAGACGGGGTTTCACCATATTGGTCAGGCTTGTCTGGAACTCCTGACCTCAGGTGATCCACCCCCAGCCTCAGCCTCCCAAAGTGCTGGGATTTCTGTTGCCCAGGCTGGAGTGCAGTGATGCGATCTCCGTTCACTGCAAGCTCCACCTCCCGGGTTCACGTCATTCTCCTGCCTCAGCCTCTGGAGTAGCTGGGACTACAGGCGCCTGCCACCACGCCCGGCTAATTCTTTGTGTTTTTAGTAGAGACAGGGTTTCACTGTGTTAGCCAGGATAGTCTCGATCTCCTGACCTCGTGATCCACCCGCCTCGGCCTCCCAAAGTGCTGGGATTACAGGCATGAGCCACCGCGCCCGGCCCTCATGGTTTTTAAAACAAGACCAGAATCAGATAGACCTGGATTTGATTCCAGACTCTACTCATTAACAGTACTGCAATGGTGGACAAGTTACTTATCCTCTATGTGCCTCTGTTTCCTTATTCTTAAATTGGTGATAAAATTAAATGGCAATCAGGTTCACAAGGTGAAATAGGAGTCAACTGGAAAAGACAGTCAAAAGTTTCTAAAGCTGTATGTGCAATATGGTAGCCATTAGACACACGTAGTTATTTATATTTAAATTTAAATCAAGTAAAATTTAAAATACATTTCTTCAATTGCATTACTGTATTTCAAAGTCTCATGGCCACATGTGGCTTATGACCACCATATTGGATAGTGAATATGTGGAACATATCTATCATCTCAGAAAGTTCTATGGCACCGTGCTCTTAAAGCATTATAAAAATAATAGAAAGATAAATAATATAAATATAAGAAATATTTACTAAAATAAAGGCTATCTCATCCTCGATGCTAATTTTCTTTCAGGATTCTCAAGTTAGTTTCTGCCCAATTTGAACACAATTCTTAAATAGGACATGAAAAACATTAAGGAAAACATTAACACTAGGAAAAATTTGATAAATTATACTTTATTGAATTAGAAGAGACCAATGGGAGTTTATCAAAAGATACCATTAACCAAGTGAAAAGACAAATTACAAAGTAGGAGAAAAACATTTGCAATACATACATGTGACAAAACTTATATCAAGAATAAAGACTTCTATAAATCAATAAGAGAAAAGCTAAGCTATAAAAGACAAAAGACTTGTATAGGCATTTCAAAAAAGATAACATACATATGAACAATCAACATTTGAAAAGGTGCTCAATATCATCAGTCCTCAAGGAAATAAAAGATAAAACATAATGAGATACCACTTCTCACACACTAGAATAGACACAGTTTTAAAGATAAAGCTGAACATGCCATATATAAGTGTTGACAGCATCTGAAGCAGCTGGGAATCATATACTTCTATTGGGGACATATTTTTTCTGCAAGCTCCTGAAGAACCACCTTGGAAGTATCAAATTTGAATATATGCAAACTCTGTGATCCAGTACTTGCATTCCTAGGTATGTACCCAATAGAGATGAGTGTATTGCCCATCAAAAAACATGAACAAGAAAGTTTACAGCAGCATTATATATTCATTTTTTAAGAAATATATGAAACAAACAGACTCAAGAGAACTCATTTCCCACATGTATTCTTTGCTAAAATTCCTTGGGAATATTCCTTTCTCATTTCCTTTTTCTCATTCACTTTTTTCTCACTTTACCAACAGAAAGACCATTTGAAAATTGATGTCAAAGAAGCTTACGTTAGTGAAGGCAGTCTAAGACTAATTGAGTTTCCTGTTTTTTCCTGTTACACATGTTTCTCTCAAGTTCAAACCATGGCCCAAGAACTAGGTTATTTGATGTAATTGAGGCATTTAGAAATAACACATACAGATGGCCTCCAACTTGCAATGGTTTGTCATATGATTTTTCAACTTTATGGTGGTGCAAAAGTGATACGCATTCAGTAGAAACCGTACTTTGAGTTTTGAATTTTGATCTGTTCCAGAGCTAGCAATATGATGTATGACACTCACCCATGTTGCTAGGCTGTGGCAGTGAGCTGCAGCTCCCAGGCAACCACACTGTCACAAGTGGTGACTCCTGACAACTGATACTCTACAGTACACTGTGTTGCCAGATGATTTTTGCTCAATCGTAGGCTAATGTAAGTGTTCTGAGCATGTTTAAGGTGGGTTAGGCTATGCTACCATGCTCATTAGATTAGGTATATTAAATCCATTTTCAACTTATAATATTTTCAACTTACGATAGTTTTATCAGAACCAAATCCCATTTCAAGTCAAGGAGCATATGTGTTGCAAACTAGAACTGACAAACTTAACTAGACTAATAATAAAAAATAGAATACAACTAAAATAAAAAATATAAAAGTAGAGATCTTACAGACTTTATAAAAATTAAAATGACTACAGCAAAATATTGCAAACAATTGTACACCAACAAATTAGATAACCTGTTGAAAGGGACAAATTCTTAGAAACACACCAATTACCCAAACTTGCTCAAGAGGAAATAGCAAACCTCAACAGATCTGTAATAATAAAGAAATTAAATCAGTATTCAAAAACTGCTCAACAAAGAAAAATCCAAGACCAGAGAGATTCACTGGTGAATTCCATTATACATTTAAATAAGAATTAATGCCAATTTTTCTCAAACGACTAAAAAATAGAAGGGGGAATACTTACTAACTCATTCTATGAATCCAGCATGATCCTGATGCTAAAGCTAGATAAAGACATCACAAAAGAGAACATTACAGACACATATCCCTTAGAAATATAGATGCAAAGATTCTCTGCAAAATGCTAGCAGACTGAATCTAACAGCATATTAAAAGGATTATACATCATGACCAAGTGGAGTTTATTTCAGGAATGCACAAGTGGGTCAACCTCAGAAAATTAATTAACAAAATGAAATAAAAAGATTATTTCAATTGATGCAGACAGATATTTGACAAAATCCAAACCCTTTTTATGATAAAAAATACTCAGAAAAACAGGAATAGAACAGGACTTACTTAACATAATAAAGGGCATTTAGGAAAAACCCACAGCTAACATAATACTTGATGGAAGATAAGGCTTTCTCCAAAAACTAAGAATAAGATAAGGATGCCTACTTTCTCTGCTGCTATTCAACATAGTATTGGACATTCTAGCATGAGCAATTAGACAATAAAAATAAAGAAAAAGAAATGAGCATCCAAGTTAGAAAGGAAGAATTAAAATTATCTCTAGTAAAAGATAGCATGATCTTATATAGCAAAATCCCAAAGATTTCACAGGACAGCTACTTGAAATAATGAATGGATTCATTACAGTTTCAAAGATCAACACACAAAAATCAGTTGTGTTATCAGTTTGGGTGGCTGGAATGAGCAACCCAAACAGGAAATTTAATAAGTTATTCCATTTATAATATAATTTAGAAGAAAATATATCTAGGTATAAATTAAACTAAGGAGGTCAGAAACTTGTTTACTGAAAACTATACAACAAATATGAAATAAATTTTTAAAGACCTAAATAAATGTAGAGCCATTCTGTGATCGTGGGTAGAAAGAATCAGTATTGTTAAGATGTCAGTACTACCCAAAGCAAACTTACAAATTCGGTGAAGTCTCTATTAAAATTCCAACAGGTATATTTTATAAAAGAAGAAAATTTGATGCTCGAATTCATATGAAATTTTAAGGGCCCCCAACCAGCCAAAACAATCTTGAAAAAGAACAAATTTGGACACTCATACTTCCTGATTTTGAAACTACTGCACTAAGGGACAGTAATGAAAAGAGAGTGATACCAACAGAAGGATATATATAGAGAGACAAATGGAATAGAATTTGGAGTTCAGAAATAACCCAAAGAAGATCATGCCCAGGGGTTTTAGACTGTGAAAGGCAGCCAAGGAAGAAATGGCTCACAATGGAATCAGAGAGACACAGACATTTTGTGGGACCTTTGCTAAGCAGAGAACTCAAGTGACACATAAAACTCCTCCTCCTATGAATTCTCAGTACATAATAGGGAAAATCAAACCTTGAAGAATGTGGGTTTGAGGTCATTGATACTTAGAAGGCTTTTAATAACTAATAGGCATATGATAGGGTTTTAGTAACTATGTAGATGGATAAATGAAGAAATGGCTACTGAGATTGAAAAAATATAGCTCATTCATAATTGTCTCTCATATTATTTTAGAGATGTTATTATTCCCCACATTAAATTTCTATCACTATGCTTCTTAGAGTTACGCTTTTCAGTATTCATCACATTCTTTCAACAAGTGATTTCTGCGTATCATATAAACAGTTTTAAAATTATTTCTCACAGATAGATCTGACTTTCATTTATGATAGAGTCTATTATTTAAATAACAAAATACTAACAAAGCATACTTCTTTGTTTGCATTAAAGTAGTACTTGCTTAGATAAAGCATGCTCATTTACTTACTCTTACAAGTATTTCAGAGGTTTCTTTACAATATCTCACATAGTTAATTCTCACATGAAATATGAGTTAATGTGCACAAGTACATTCTGTTTTCTGTTTAGTTATATTTCTGTGTGTTATCAATTTATTGCCATTTAAATGACAAAATCACTAAGCAATTTCTGATATAAGTGCAATTATTTCTTGCATTTTCTTGAACACTTAAATTTCTTTTCACTTTTAAGCAATAATGGAAAATAGGCATAAAAAAAGAAGAAAATAATGTATTTTGCAGCAACTTAGATGCAACTGGAGACCATTACCTTAAGAGATGTAACTCAGGAACAGAAAACCAAATGCTGAATGTCCTCACTTATAAGTAAGTGGGAACTAAACGATGTATACACAGAGTGATAAAATGGACATTGGAGATTTAGAAGGGAGGAGTGTGAGGGGGCTGGTGAGGGATAAAGAATTACCTGTTGGGTAAAATGTGTACTATCAGGGTATATAGGGTACCCTAAAACCCAGACTTTATCACTGTACAATTCATCCATGTAACTAAAAACCATTGTACCTCTAAACTATTGACAAAACAAATAAATAAATAAAATTAAAGCTGCTAAAACAAAGAAAAATAGAATTGTGAGGTCAAAGAAGATTGATTATTTAAGGTAATATAGCAATTTCAGCTGTCTAGTACGTGCATAGTTCACAGCTGTAGAATGCAAACTTAATTTTCTCCAATTCTTGGCAAATGTAGTTTCCTGTAATATACATGCACAATCTCAAGGTTACCAGCAAACAATCTTGTGGAAATAAACCTCCTCGTAATAGAATAAGGGTATTTGGTTTAACCAGCATAGTATAGCAGTTAAAAGCCTAAATGCTAGAAACAGATGGCTAATCTCTGGAAAGTTATTCAATCACTCTGTGCTTCTCTTTTCTCATCTTTTTAATGAAGAGAATAAAATAACTATCTTAGAACATAGTGTGTAGAGATTAAATGAGTCAATATATTTATTATTATATGTCCAGTTAATAGAAACTACAATAAACTATTAATAAAATAGAAACTATTCCATGTATCAAAAATGAACTAGAAATCAATATAAGGAATTGAATTTAAATGTTTTGAAAGGGTTGGAAAAACAATAGGGGCCTTACCCAGAGACATTTATAGTAACTGCAGGAAGCTGCTGCTACCCTTGAGAATGAGGAAAGGGCCACATTGTCCCATGATGCCACTGGAGCACAGCTGCTGGAACAGCTACTGTTATAATTGCCATTATTATTATCTGAAAAGTGACCAGGGAGCTCATAGGAACCCAAAATCTGCATTCTTCTTGATGCATAGGCTGAAACCACAGCATATGCTACTGGAGCCTGGGTTTACCCACCAATGCCAGAGCCAGAAGTATCATCATCATCTCTTTCCCATATTTTCCCCCCTTTTAATCTCAGACAAGATTAGTAACCCAGCTGTCAAGGGCATCTGGGAAATGAAGTTTTCTAATCCTGTAGTGCAGAGACAATACAGGAGGGAGAGAATGGCATGAAGAACCAACAGATACTGTGTGGAGCAATAGATAAAGCCCAAAGACCAAGTCTTGGCACATAGGAATTGCTACTATTTTTAGATTTATTTTATAAGAAAAAGTCTCAATGATGACTGAGCCCAGAATGACTATTGATTTAATTTAAATTTTATGGTAGCATTTAGACCTCTTCTTTATTTTTTTGATGGATTGTAATCTCTACACAATGTCTGTTCAAATAATTCTGTAAACAGATATATCATTTTCTCTGAAATTTTAATTAGCTATTATTAATATTTCAGCATCCCAGTTCCAATTTAAATTTCAACCAATATTAAATTACAAATACATTGATCTTAATCTTTATTTCCATAACCGGGATCTTTCTACCTTCAGATTTTGGAGCCAATTATTTTTAGAGTTGTGTTATTTTTTGCTTCGTAACAGCTTCCAGTGTAAATCGAGGTTCAGATATCAAATATAAGAACTGTTTAGCTATAGACTTTTCCAGATCCTAGATTAAGGAAGTGCTTTTGTGATAATTAGTCACATCTGGCGTTGCCACTTACATCACTTTATATGTTTAGAGTAGTAAGTAGTTTGAAATATCAGCAAAATAATTTTGCCTTCTGGTCACATGTTAAATGAGAACATTTCTAAATAAATAAAACATATTTTAGAGCTATGTTTATAATGTCTAATTTCCCATAAAATAAAGTCTTAACATTATCCATCTGCTTTTGCAATCAAGAATTAGGAAAATGTATACAGTGAGCAATATAGAAGCACCATCCAAATATATTCTGTAACTCATGAAATTAGGGTCACCTTGAACTATATTACATCAGAAATATTCATGTTTTTGTATTTTGATTTATCTACCTTTGTCATTCAGAAAACAACATGAAATGATCAGTACTAACATATTGAGTAATATTATTTTATTTTCCTTTATCTCTTTACACACATGTGCACATCTTTAATGATTCATAAAATTTTACACTATGAACCCGAAGATTAATATGCATGCCAGTAATGCTCAGAAAATTGAGAAAAGCTGTAATTTAAATACAAAATTATTTTATTTCATATTTTAATGAACAATTTAAATACTTTAATTATTCAATTAGAAACTTTTTATTTGAAAATATAGGAAAATACCATTACGCTCTAGATAGTCAAAGGACGAAGATACAGAATACATTATGAAAAAAAGGAATATTATGACTCAGGAACAAAAAAGAGAGGATGGATGAGCCAGAATTTTCAGAAAATTTATTTTTTCGTTCAGCATATATTTATTAAGTACTTACAATAATGTGCCAGGTGCTATAAAAGATAGGATGAATATGTTAAAATATAAGAAGATATATTTGCTCACATCCTATAAATTATTATCTAATATAAATAGGAAATTAAAATGTACTATAGAAAAATATCGTATGTTCTCACTTATAAGTGGGAGTAAACTGTGAGGATGGAAAGGCATAAGAATTATATAATAGACTTTGAGGACTTGTGGGTGGGTAATGTTGAGAGGGGAATGAGAGATAAAAGACTGCATATTAGGTACAGTGTACACTGCTCGGGTAATGGGTGCACTAAAATCTCAGAAATCACCACTAAACAACTTCTCTATGTAATCAAAAACCACCTGTACCTCAGAAACGATTGAAATAAAAAAATTTAAAAATAAAAAACAATAATATCATCATTTTACTACAAAAATATATGTAGTATACAACAATACTATTGAGTTGGCAGTACATTGTGCTACAAGAGTACCAAGAACCTTCAAGTTTCAGGTCCTATAGGAGGTAAGAGAAAAGCTCAGACTTAAATGGTGAGTAGGATTTATCCAGGCAAAGATGTGCAGAAAAGAAGATATGTTGCAAGAAGGTGTTTGTTGGTGGTCGTAGTGGTGGCCATTTAAAGCCAAAGATATATATATGGCTCAAAGTGATTAAGTATGTATTAATTAGTAGAATGTTTTTAAAACTTTTACATAGCTTAATATATACAACATTTTGTATGTATATACATGTGGCAAAATATATTTCTGGTTTATGCCATTTTATTATTAAAATTCTAATTTTTTTCATTTTAAAGTTATTAAGAATGACCCACTAACTTGACTTAATGACTTAATATATAATCATCATTCACAGTAGTGCACAGAGCTTTAGAAAAAAAATGATAGTAGTCCCTATGGATGAAACCCAGAGTACATTGTTTTGGAGTAGTGATAGCAGATACAAGAAATGAAGGAAAGGGTTCATTTATAGAATCTGATAAACAGATTATATAGGGTTGGTTACCCCCACCCCAAAGGCAATGGGAAACGCCACAAAGGTTTAAACAGAGAAATGTCAGGTTCCCTTGTGGGTTTTAGGAAAATGTATTTGGCTGCTGTGTGAAGGCTGAATTGGAGAAGTGCTGAATGGAAGACAGAGAGCAAAATGAGGAGGTTGTAGCCATGCTCAAGATTAAATTTAATGGTGGACAGAGTTAGAGGAGTGCAATTTAGAGAATCAAGAGACATTTATGAAGTTACATAAACAGAACTTGATGATTGATTGAATGTGGGCAGGTAAAGAGTTTAAAATTACTCCCAAGTTTCTTGCTTTAGTGACTTGGTGCATGATGACACCATTCACTGGGATTTTAGCACAGAAGAGGACAAACATATTTTAGAGAAAAATAATGAGTTCTGTTTTGGACGTATTGAGCTTGAGATTACCAGAGAATGTCATTTGGAGATGTCCACTAGGTCGTTATATATTTGTGGTTTTGAAGCTCAGGAGGAACGCTTGAGTTAAATTTATGATACTATTTTTCAAGATTGGTGTTTTTTCTAGCACTTTTATGTTATAATGAATTCAAAGCTGTAATAACCTGCACAACTTTGATTATACCAAAAAAGATCTTTCTCAACTATACCAATTTTTCCAATGATTACAATCCATACCATTCTGCTTTGAAAAGCCAACTTTCTTGGCAGTTTCTTGAGGTTCATAAAATAGATAAGAACCTCAGATACCTTGACACATTCTAGACATTTATAGCTCAGTTGATGTATATCATCCACGACTTGGAGATTAAAATGAGGCTATTTTGGATGCTGATTTTTTCCCACCATCTTCATGACTTTGTTGCTTTCCTTTGCTGCATCTTGAAAGTATTGATTCAGAATAGAGAATCCATTTATCCACACAAAGCTGGTAGATACATTTTATCCATATCCCATGTTGTATTGCATATGGTTAGTCATGGATTTTCAATTTTGTTTTAAATTATTGGAGTAAGAGACCATTATCTGTACATCTTTCTCAAACAATAGTTAACAAGAATGCTAAGCATTTAGTAATGTTTAGTTAGTACTTTTTTTATCCTTTCATTAAAGTTAGGAAAGGAACATTTATAGTATTTGATCTAATTAGCACCTAACAATACTGAATAAATGAAATGAGTAAATAACAGCTAACAATATAGAATTATATACTTCTTTCTGCAGGAAAATTTGAGTAAATTTGTACCTACTGAGAAATCACAAATAATTAGAGCATTTCATTGTCATAATATTTAATTAGACTTTATTAGCATATAGAAAATCTGATTGAATAGGTTCTTAGAATTTAATTTTTAACATTAGCATTTCTGCATATCTACATATTTAGCATATCTACATATTTAGCACATCTAAAGAGATAAGACAATTAAAAAATAGAAAGATTTTTTCAACTAATTGCCATATTGGTAAATCAAGTGGCAAATAGATTAAAAAAAAAAAAAGGCCTGTTGTGTCATTTGTTCATTTCTGATTGGGTAGAAAAGATAAAAGAAACAAATTGAGGAGTTCTATTTATGGCTGGAATTTAGGAATAGAAAACACTTATATTAATCTTCTATTCATGACAAATTAAACACATTTTTATTTAAATGGCATCTTTTTCAAGACTGTCTTCTTTTTCCTTGCTTTCAGCTAAAATGCCTTTCAAATATAATTTCTCTAATAGTGAGATTCTAAATAGTAAACAAGCTAGTTAGCAAGCTTTCTTATAAGCTTACAGAAACCAATTGACACAATCTACTAATGGTAAAGTATGGACTCCATCATCAAAATAGGCCAGCAAGAAGAAAGGCAAAGGGACATCATATTTAACCTACATACATGATAAGTTGCTAAAACTCTCATTTCTGCTAGCAGTCTGTTAGGTCACATTATTCCAGACCACAGTCATTGTTCCTTCCTCTCACCAGTGAAGGGTAAAGAGTGTAGATTACTGTCTTCATTAGCCATGAATTTATGCCTAATTGGTCTCCAGCAGACAGCATATGGCTGAACAGAAAAGCTTGTGAGAAACGGAAGCTTATCTTCACATCCCAGGCTCTGTCCCTTCTCTTGTGTTCAGAGGCCCGGTGCCTTTGCGCCTCGCTCATTCGTCTTCTTTGCTTTCAGCCACAAACCAGATGTTAAGAAGCTCTACTTGTGAAGGCAGCTTATTCTAAGGGTAGTTGCATTTGAAGTTTACATCTGAAGAAAGT